>NC_000010.11:49385519-49537034 GCF_000001405.40 Homo sapiens | reverse complement strand
CTTTAACCTGATAAGAGCCTTCTGGTTTCCAACTCTCACTTCCAGAAGACTTGGTTTTCTGGCCATTGCCAGATACTAAGTGACTTCTTGAACCCTTTCTCCCATTTCCAGGCCCCTTCTGTTTTTTTGTTTGTTTGTTTTTGTTTTTTTAAACCTACCCAGCTTGGACCCTGAAGTCAGTTGCTTCAGCTACTCTTCTCAGCATCTTCAACCCCGTGACTCTTTTGCGCTACCATTTCTGCTCTGAAAACCCTCAATAGTGACATTTCCCCCAGGACTACTGAAGGAGGAGATTGTTCAGCCCTGGAGATTGTTAGCAGTCTATGGCTTTGCAGGGCTGGGGAGATCCTCAGGTAGGTCCTCCACAGCAATCATCAGTGTTTGTTCCCTGTCAACTCCCTTTTCTCTTGTACAGGACATTTATTCCAGACTCTTAGTCTTTAGCCCCAGTGCCAACTTTGTCTCCTGACTCAGGAACTGCCCAACTTGCTGCTTTGTGGGATATTTTGTCTGTAATCCACTTCAGCTTCCCTCCTTTCCACCTGCAAATTTAGATCTATCAGGAATCCTCCTTCTGCCAGAGTCCGAGAAAGATGTGTTGTGCCTCCTGTTCATTTCTGCTTGCGACCTTCCACTTTTGCTGTCTCTTTTGGTACACCTTTCTGGGTTATCTCCTCTGTCTCCCTCCAGCCATTACGTGCTCTAGTTTTTCTTGCCCTAGTTCTCTCCCTACCCCCAACAAATCCATTATTACTTTATCACTGTAGCTGTCTCCCTGCCAGAGGCAAGCTCTTTAAAGGACAGGCCACTCTCTTGTGGCCTCCATTTCCTCATCCACTCCTTACACACCAACTACATTTCAACCACTACAGTCTGGTTTTTGGCCCTATCGCTCCACTGAAACTTTTTTATTTTTTCGAGACAGAGTTTCACTCTTGTTGCCCAGGCTGGAGTTCTGCGGTGTGATCTCAGCTCACTGCAACCTCTGCCTCCTGGGTTCAAGCGATTCTCGTGCCTCAGCCTCCCGAGTAGCTGGGATTACAGGCATGCACCACCACGCCTGGCTAATTTTTGTATTTTAGTAGAGATGGGGTTTCACCATGTTGGGTCAGGCTGGTCACGAACTCAGGTGATCCACCCGCCTTGGCCTCCCAAAGTGCTGGGATTACAGGTGTGAGCCACCAAGCCTGGCCTGAAACTTCTTTTACCAAGGTAAATGGTGACCCATTGGTATCCAAATTCACTCAGCCTTTTCTCATTCACTGGACGCTCTTCCTCCTTTTTTATTATTAGAAGTTTTCCCCAAACTTCTTTATTTTTAACCTTGTCTTTACACTACAATACTATTGCTTTTTGATATTATTTTACAGAAATAGAAAAATGGTTACTTAATATTTTTGGTTGAATTGGCATCCTTTTTTCTTAAAAAGAAATCCTCATGTGTGTACAAATAAGAAAAATGAAAACAGAATTGTTAACTGCCAGCTAGTACAGACACTCTGAGCTGGAA
Organism: Homo sapiens; assembly: GCF_000001405.40. Classification (NCBI taxonomy): domain Eukaryota; kingdom Metazoa; phylum Chordata; class Mammalia; order Primates; family Hominidae; genus Homo; species Homo sapiens. The sequence goes on along the minus strand of NC_000010.11, from coordinate 49,535,524 downwards.
TCCTGCTCTCTCTGTTGGAAAGTGAGGTGAGCTGAGCCTTCCTCTTGAAAATAATCAGCAGGCCCCAAAAGAAGGAACTTTCTCACTGTGTTGTTCACTTTTTAACCTTTCCAATGTTAGCCTCCTCGTACCCTCCAAAATGACCTTAGGTACCTGTCAGAGCCTTGGGAACCCTGGAACTGCTCACTCTGCTGATGTGTCCACATGTCACCCAGACTTTCCCTTGAGCTCAGATTTGCATTTCTGACTGCATGCTGCAAATGGTACTGATTACATGTAAGCTGCTTGCCAGTCCTGCTTCCTATCTGCTTCCTTTTTGAGAGTCTCATTTTTGTGACTGAATTCACTGGTGACTCATTTGTCCAGACCAAACTTTTTATTATTTTAGACTTAGCTCTGAACCTCACTTCCTTTCAGCAGATATTGAGCACCTCCTATATATCAGACCATGCATGGCCCATGTGTTCAAATCTCAGTTCCTCCGTGATATTTCTTGGGCCCCAGACACCATATATAGTTCGCTCGATGCTCGTGTGACCTCTTGTCCGTGTCCCGGGCTAGCTGACCTGCCCTGCTCTGTTGTTAACTGACATGCTGCTGCTCCAGTGGATAGCCACTCGGGTGTAGATGATGCTGAATTCTTTGTATCCCGGTGCTTTATTGCTGGGCTTATTTTACTTAATAAGGGATGAGTGGGGCCCACTGGGGGAACTTGTCATTTAACAGAAAAGTTACAGTGCTCAAAGAAATCTTATTCACAGTTAAACAAAAAGCAAGACTGATTTTTGGTTATCGTTTTGCTTTTTAATATATTTATTAGATGTGATAGTTGTATAGGTAATATAGTGAATATATTCTCCTTAAAGCAGCAGGTCCTGAGTATGTGGAGTACAATGTGAACATTCCCCCTTATTTTTCCCTGTGCTTTCTCTTCCCCATCCTGATTTGCAGGCTTAGTTTGTATCCTGCCAGATCATTCTGTGTGCAGGATAGATACTTTTTTCAGCATAAGTGTGTTCATACCATGAATTTTTTCACTTAACATGGCTTTTATATCAGTATACAGAATATACTTAGTAGTTACATTAAACTATTAAAAATGTGCTGCACTAAACATTCTTGCACCTGTGTGTGACTAGTTCTCTGGAATAAATACCTAGAATTGCTTGACAAAGGTCATGTGCCTTTAATTTAATAGATATTGCTAAGTTGTCCCTACAAGGGGCTTTACTAATTTATATTCTCAGCAGCACTATGTGAGGGGGGATCCTTCTCCTTGTCTGTATTGGATTTATCTATCAGGCTTTGAATTCTTGCTAACCTGATGGGTGAGAAATTATACTGTGTATTAAAATGGAGTTTTTTTTTTGTTTTTTTTTTTTTTTTTTTTTGAGATTGAGTCTCACTCTGTTGCCTATGCTGGAATGCAGTGGTGAGATCTCATCTCACTGCAACCTCCGCCTCCTGGGTTCAAGTGATTCTCCTGCTTCAGCCTCCCGAGTGGCTGGGATTACAGGTGCTCACCATCATACCCAGCCAATTATTGTATTTTTAGTAGAGATCGGGTTTCACCATGTTTGCCAGGCTGGTCTCAAACACCTGACCTTAAGTAATCTGCCCGCTTCAGCCTCCCAAAGTGTTGGGATTACAGATGTGAGCCATCGTGCCCAGCCTATTTTTGAGAATATTTTAATTAATCTTTTAAAAAAACTTTAAATTTATTTTACAAGGTCTTGCTCTTTTGCCCAGGCTAGAGTGCAGTTGTGCAATCATGGCTCACTGCAGCCTCCATCTCCCAGGCTCAAGTGATCCTCCTGCCTCAGCCCCTTGAGTAACTGGGACTATAGGTGCACATCACCAGGCCTGGCTAAGGTTTTAAATTTTTAGTAGAGACAAGGTCTCATTATCTTTCCCAGGCTGGTCTCGAAGTCCTGAGCTCGCTGTGTTTCCCTGGCTGGTCTCTATCCTCCCGCTTTGGCCTCCCAAAGTGCTGGGATTACAGGACTGAGCCACGTGCCTGGCCTAATTAATCTTCTGAGCTTCTGATTTGTTCAAAGCTCCTATTTACTGGATAGGTATTCAGCCTAGGAGTTTCTAGTCTCAGATTCACACAGAAGCTCTTTCCTAACATCGCTGTTCCTATGCATTACAGTTGATCTTGCCACTATATTATAAATCATTTGTGTCATAATGAAATGAAGATGCTAACTTGGAAAACAGCAGCCAAATGACTTCAGCTGTTTTGAAGAATATTCCATGGCCATCACCCCAGGATTTTGGTGGCTGGCTTTCTTAGCTGGCTGCCTAAATGTCCTTTGTTGATGATACTGCATTTCTTTTTCTGGTTAATTTTTCTTATTTATTATCAGAACTCAAGAAGATACGTTGTCCCTTTTTAGTAAATTAATACTTGGAAACTTGAATTTATGTAGTTGGAAGATTATTACTTGATCTTTTGAGAAATCAGTCTGCTCTAATTATAAAATATTTAAGAACTACAATGAATCCTATATAACGAAAAGGCTTATAAATTTTTTTCCTTTTAGGTAGTCTGTAGAGAATGCCAAATGAGGGAATCCCCCACTCAAGTCAAACTCAGGAGCAAGACTGTTTACAGAGTCAACCTGTCAGTAATAATGAAGAAATGGCAATCAAGCAAGAAAGTGGTGGTGATGGGGAGGTGGAGGAGTACCTCTCCTTTCGTTCTGTGGGTGACGGGCTGTCCACCTCTGCTGTGGGGTGCGCATCAGCAGCTCCGAGGAGAGGGCCAGCCCTGCTGCACATCGACCGACATCAGATCCAGGCAGTAGAGCCTAGCGCCCAGGCCCTTGAGCTGCAGGGTTTGGGTGTGGACGTCTATGACCAGGACGTGCTGGAACAGGGAGTGCTTCAGCAGGTGGACAATGCCATCCATGAGGCCAGCCGTGCCTCCCAGCTCGTTGACGTGGAGAAGGAGTATCGGTCGGTCCTGGATGACCTCACGTGAGTGCAGCCCATCTTCTTCCTTTCAAAGTGGTGGTAAAACATGACAGGGATATTCAGGTAATGGAAAGCTCTAGTATTCCAGAAGTTTAGGAGATGTGTAGAACCTTTTATTTGGAGGACAGAGTCAATAAGGGCAGTCCTCAACCTCATCTTTGAGTCCCAGCCCTTCCCCTTAGGAGTGGCATTGTACATGGTAGTTAGAGTCTCTGTCCAGCTCGTGAAAGCCAGTTGCATGCATAATGTCCAGAAGAGAAGGGCTGTTCACCAGCATGTGCACAAAGTGATCTCAGGAGAGGTGCACCTAAATTCAGGTGTTTCCTATTCGAGATGCCAGGAATACATTGCGCCCCCTTCACATTTTTCTCTGTGCGGTAGCTTCTTTCTAGCTTACTGTCCCCAAACTTAGTGTTCAGTCCTTGGGCAATTTTTCAGATTTGCATTTTTAGAAATAATAAAGACTCCCCGGTTTTCTTTTCTTCCATCCTTGTTCTGACTCTGGAAATGGAGATTTTATTTGTGTCTTAGAGAGGGAGAAGACTTGAGCTGTTTTGAGCATAGCACGTTAATGGGGAAGAAGGGGAGGCTGTAGACCTGAGCAAGGGTAGGAGGTGAGGACAGGAGAGGGGAAGTGGGAGGGGTTGAGCTCACTTATCATTGCTGCTTGGCCCCCGTTGGGCAGTGTTCTGGGCAGTGTCAGGTAAGCAAGAAAGAAGGCGAGGGCTGAACGGGATGGAGGATGGAGCAGTGTCACAGAGGATAGCTGGGGAGGGTGGAGTGTGGCGCTGTCATGAATGTGGTTGTTGGTACTTCAAAGACATGTTTTCTGCTAACCATTCCCTGGTGTGTTCTTTTGGCCTCCTCAGGAGCAGGTGCTCGTTCATGGTTATAGTCTGAGTGTTGAGGACCTCAACTCTTTGTAATGATACTTTTACATTTGATCTTGGAAATGTGTCCTCTTTCTCCAGAGGTGACAGAGGAGAGTTGTGGGGTCTCCATGCAGAGTGATGCTAGATGGCTGGTGGCATGTGGTGTCTCAGCCAGTAATACGCATTGTTTATCCTGTAATCCACAGAGGATACAAACAGCAAATTACACAATCATCAAGAAGATTGAATTTGTGTTTTGAAAATTGGAAGCTACAATTCTATGGTGTCTATTTTAGGAGTAATTTATTTTAAATTGATTTGTTTTCTTTGCACCACAAAGTTTAGTGCTGTAGTAAGTGAATCTTCCATTTATGTAGAAGAAAAATATTGTCGCAGATGTGTGATTTATATAAAAAAATGTTTAAGCATATTTAGGATGCTTCCAGACTTTGGAAGGCTTCCGTAACGGGCTTAAAAAACCCATGTATGCATTTTTTCATGTAAAAGGACAACTTATTGCACATTGTTCTAGCATAGTGTGTTGAATAAAGTAGGCACTTAAATAATGCTTGTAGAATGACTGAAGCAGCTTACAAATGGGAATGAGCTGATCTAAATCAGCTAGATAAAAGAAAACACTAGCAGTCATCTTAAACCTCTAATGATCCTACAAGTTTTATTTGTGGCCAATAAGGGTATGTATTCTGGTTTAGTTTCCTTTATCTTTTAGTTAATAAGAAGTAAAAGGGACATGTTTTTAGCATTTTTCTCTTTATATTATGCTATAAAAATGTTATCAGAGTGCAAAATAGACAATTTATCTTATTTTTCAGGTCATGTACGACATCCCTAAGGCAAATCAATAAAATTATTGAACAGCTTAGCCCTCAAGCTGCCACCAGCAGAGACATCAACAGGAAACTAGATTCTGTAAAACGACAGAAGTATAATAAGGTGATTCAGAATAACATTCAGTATTGCATTTTTGAAAAAGTCATCATTTAGGGGCACTTAATTTAGGAAGTATTTTAAAAAGTGCTTATAAGATGTGAAGCAAATACTTATAATTACAATAGAGAAATTTTGGGTTTCTTTTGTATGTTTAATCTTTCTGCTGTTTTCCTTTAACATCCCATTCTATTGCATTTAAAAAAACACACATACATAGACACACACATCCATACGTATACAGTTGCTCCTTGATTTACAACAGGGTTACATCCCGACAAACCCATCGTAAATTGAAAATATTGTTAGTCAAAAATGCATTAAATACACTGAAAAACCTATCTTAAAGTCAAAATATTGTAAGTCAAACCATAGTTAAGTCCAGAGGCTCCTCAGTTTATAATGGGGTTATGCCCTGATAAACCCATCACAAAGTTGAAAAATTGCAAGTCAGACCATGATAAGTTGGAGACCATCTGTGTATTTGAGAAAAGTTCCTTTTTGGTGTTGCTTGCCTCACTTGGGCGCACTTCCTTAGTTTTCCTGCATCACCATTTCTTTGGCCTGGCTTAGGGTCACACTGGCCTCAGTCTCCTGGTCTCCTGTGAACTCTTTTCTGCTTAGCCCTTGCTTCCTCTAATTGTCTCCACTCTGTTTCTTGGTGGTGCAGCCATTGACCCTCACACACCTTTGCTGACAGTTGCGAGAGCTTGGCCCTTCCTCCCACCTTGGGTGTTACAGTCAGCACCCAGCCACACTGGGGTTGTACTTAGCTTTGGAAAACTTAAGGGTAGGGAATATTTGTTACTTAGGATATTATTTTTATGAAGTTTGAAACTTTTTTTAAGGATTTATGTACAGCTTTGTGAGGTCTGAAACATTTTTTATGATTTATGTACCCCTTTGTGAAAATACATTGCAATAGATAGGAATGACTAGCTGTAACCATTTCAGTTCTGCCATCCCAACTTGTGCTTACAGTTGATTCACTGCAGTGAGTAGAGTCCTTGCATCTTTTCTTTAAGCTCTCCAGGGGCAGGGCTGTGCGTTGGTTCAGTTCACGTGGCCCTCCTTTTATTATACTTTCCACTCACCAGTCTGTTACCTGCACTACCCCATCTTCTCTCACTTGCTTCCAGAATAGCAGCCCAAAGGTCAAAGCTAGCAGTTGCCCAAGGCAGGTGGGTCCTCCCAAATCAGAGAGAGGACATCTGGTCTCTTGTGGGAGCATGTGAAATTGATGTGCAGAGACCTTCTTGGGCTTCTAGTGGGCTGGAATTTCAAGGGTGTAGAGCATCAAACTTGAGACCACTTCAGGTCCTAGTCTAACTTAATTATGCATTCTTGTCTTTAGCAGCTCTTTGATGGTTAGAGGTAGACTATTCAGAGGGAAAGTGCTTTAGACAGAATGTTGCTGAGAGAAAAACTGAGAAAAAACAAATTGCAAGTCATTGCAGTGTGGCATTTATGTTCAGGATTTCCCCTTGTCCCACACTCGTATTTGAAGTTGAAACATTCTTGACCTTGGAAAGATGAACCAGGTACCACAAGCCCAGTTCATTGGGCCTCCCCAGTGAAGCCCAAGGGCACATATCTGAGTTCTGGTGATGTGGAAGGGAACAAGACAAAGAGGAGTCTGGCGTGGCCAGGGTGGAGAGGCATGGCAAGATATATTTTTTTCTTAAAGCTTTTTGATTAGGTAGAATACTAAAAGGACAGTCATAAATATAGTAGGTTATCAAAGGAGACTAACTTTTTCAATTGAACATTTGTGTTTTTATTTCTTATCTTATGGCCTGTTGACTTCCATAGCCCATTGGTTCTGAATCAGAAATACAGAGTAGTTTAGGGATTTGCCCAGTGTGTAAGGGGGAAACCAAGTAGAACAAGTCCACCTTTCAGGTCAGTGCCCATGTATTTAAGGGCTCGGGCACATAGAAGGCAGTCTGCCGTCCTCAGGAGAGCATGGGGGTGCAGGCATGCCTGTCTGCTGGGAATATTCACGGCCCCTTTACTCCTAGAAAAGTGGTAGTTGCTCACATAGGGCTCTCTAGTAATAGTAATGTATGGAATTTTTATGTAATGTATATTATTTTTATTTTACTTTGGATTTAAGTTTAAAATTTCATAATGCTATCTTTTGTATTTAACAATAAATCACTTCATTGCTGTTTTCTGTCTTCTATATTTACCATTCAAGGAACAACAGCTAAAAAAGATCACTGCAAAACAAAAGCATCTCCAGGCCATCCTTGGAGGAGCAGAGGTGAAAATTGAACTAGATCACGCCAGTCTGGAGGAGGATGCAGGTGAGGATGCTAGGAGCAGTTTCTCTGTGTTCTTGAATTGATGCCTGATGCCTGTAGTCAGTGGAGGGTGTCTCTTTAGTCTTTGCCTGGGTTTTGAGAAAAATACGTTTCTTTGCCTTAGTGTCAAAACAGATTTAGGAAAATTTTATTCTCTACACCTGCAGAACCAAATCCCTCTCAAAGAGAATTAAAGTAAACTTTTAACTCAGTTCATAGGAGGCTGCTGGTACACATTTATTATTACATTTAATACACTGGAAATCTTAAACATTCTTATTTTGTTAATTTGATAAAGACAACTAGCATCATGATTAAATTACATGTTGGAAGCCCAACATCATTAATCGCATTTGTAGAATGGCTCTCACGTGTCTTTAAAGAGCGTATTTGGCAGGCTTTCCAAGCATCAGTTTAAGAAAAGACATCTTCATTCAGGTACTCTGGGCAGTATTTCATTTACATTACTGTCTTGGATGGTTGTCTTTTGGAAAACTTTTTGGGAAAATTCGTAAGCTCTGGAACTAAATTATCTTTGCAGTCATTGTGTGTGTGTATGTGTGTGTGTGTGTACAAATTGTTGGTGGCTGCATAGGCATTGACTATTTGAAATACAGATTAAAGCTGCTTAGCATTAAATTCTCTAAGCAACTATTTTCTACTAGCTTTAGAAGTTTATTCAGTAAGATGAGAATTGTTATGAAGAATTAATTGAAGCAATAGAAAAAAATATGTATATTTTTGAAACAGAGTTTCGTTCTTGTTGCCCAAGTTTGGAGTGCAATGGCACCATCTCAGCTCACTGCAACCTCTGCCTCCCGGGTTCAAGCGATTCTCCTGCCTCAGCCTCCCAAGTAGCTGGATTACAGGCGCATACCACCATGCCCAGCTAATTTTTTGTATTTTTAGTAGAAACAGGGTTTCACCATGTTAGCCAAGCTGGTCTCGAACTCCTGACGTCAGGTGATCTGCTCACCTTGGCCTCCCAAAGTACTGGGATTACAGGTGTGAGCCACTGCACCCAGCCCAAAAGTACGTGGTTTTAAAGTTCAGCCTCTCAGAATTCATTAGGCCTATGACCAGTGCTTTTAACTGCTGTGTACTATGTTTCTCATTGATAACAGATGTTTGTTCCTGTCTGGCCGTCTCAGATCTGCTGTTGTCTTTCACCTCCTACTGTGACTTTGGTAGTAGGGTTAATAGCTACCTCTTAGGGTTAATAGCTAAAACTTTGGTAGTAGGGTTAATAGCTACATTGTCTAGGGTTAATAGCTACCTCCTCAAATCCAAGAGCCCCTTTTTATCCTTGTTCCACTCTGCCTGTCCACAGCAGCTGACACTTCTGTTCCTTGTGGGATCCCTGCTTCTCTACTGGTTTTCTTTTTAGCCCTCTGACTACTTCTGCATAGTTATTTCTGGCCATATCTTAAATATTGATGTTTCTCAGGATTTCTTTGAGCCCTCTTCTTGTTCTACTGCCTCTCCCTGGTTATCTATTCCCCATGGCTTTTGCAGCCACCTAGGTTCTACTAGTACCTTATACAGATCTGTAGACATCTGGCTTTGCTCTTTTTTTGAGTTCCTGGTTCCTATTATATCTCTCCGTCTGGACACCAGCCAACACTTGAAGACATGAACTGAAATTGGAAGTTACACCATAACTGTAAAGTCACCCAGAAAGTATCCCTCTTTCATTAGTTGAAATTCATCTCCGGCAAAATTACCACATAACCAAAATACCAAAAGACCTAAGGCTTAATAGGAAGCAAAATACTCAGTGTAAAGACCTAAGGCTTAATTGAGGCAAAATACTCAGTGTAAAGGAAAAGATTTGTTAAATGGACTATATATAAAACCAAGAACTTCTGTTCATCAGAAGATAGCATTTAGGGCAAGATACTGAGCTGGGGAAGATATTTGCAATACATGTGTGAATCAAAGGACTCAAATCTAGGATGTATAAAGAACTAGAAATCATTTAAAGAAACAGACAAACAAAAATGGGCGAAAGACTGGAACACTTCCTACACAAAAAAGGCTATCCAAAAGATAAATTCATGAAAGGCACCTATTTTGTTAGTCATCAGGGAAATGTAAATTATAGCCATAATGTGGTACCACTACACATCTACCAAAATAGCTAACATGGAATGGCAAGAATATACACCAGTTGGAACTTTCTGACACAGTTGATGGGGACTTTGGAACGTAACACTTTGGAAAACTGACAGTGTCTACTAAAGCTTAGCATACCCAGATATATATATATATATATATATATATATATATATATATATATATAAAAATATATAAATATATAAATATATAAATATAAATAAAACCAAAAGATGTGCATCAGAATATTCATAGCAACATTATTCCTAGTAGCCAAAACCTGGAAGCCACTCAAATGTGCATTAACAGTGAGAGTTAACAAACTACAGCTACATTCAACAGTAAGGATGCAGCTCAAAAGCATAATGTTGGGTGAAGGAAGGTGGACACAGGGCACAAACATTTCCACTTACGTAGCGTTCAGAGACAGGCACAACTTGTCTGTACGTTAGGAGTCCAGGTCCATCATTATCTTGGGGGGCGTAGAGGCTGGGAGGTAGCCTGAAGGGCTCATCTGGTGGTGCTAGTAATTCTGTTAGTTGATATGGCTGCTAGTTTATGAGTACATTTTTTCTGAATATTCACTGAGTTCTACACTTAATGATTTGTGCACTTTCAGATGTATGTTTTATTTCAGTGCAAGTTTAATGAAAAACTGGGTATCATTGGCCTGCAAGAATTGTAGATTTTAGAATATGGATTCCTTCCTATTAAGCCTTAGGTCTTTTGGTATTTTGGTTATGTGGTAATTTTGCCAGAGATGAATTTCAACTAATGAAAGAGGGATACTTTCTGGTGACTTTACACTTATGGTGTAATGTCTTCAAGTCAGTTAACTTCACATATCTAACACAGTGCTGCTGTCCAATAGACCTTTTTGCAGTGATGAAAATGTTCTCTGTGTTGCCCATTATAGTAGCCATTAGTCACGTGTAGCTCTTGAGCACTTGAAAAAGGGCAAATGCAACTGTGGAACTGAGTTTTTAACTTAATGTAATTTAAATTTAAATAGCTGCAGGTGACTGGTAACTGCCATGCTGGGCAGCATAGAGCTGACATTTATGTTTTTCCTTTTTAGGTACATGGTGATCCCTGTTTTTGGTTTTACTGTCTCTTGAATTTAAGTCCATCTGAATGTTGGTTTTAGCAATGACGTGAGAACTTCGGAGCTTGCTTCCTCATGGACGACTACTCAGCTGATAAGGAAACACAGCTAAACTTGACTATTTATAACTGTATTTATACAGTAATAAGCCTATCTTTGGATGGCAGAGAGTATATTTATAGTGAAATATTTTGGGGAAAAGTTACTGAGAAGTTGTCTTTTTGAACAGGAATATATTAAATATAGCATGATGCTATAATTTTATTCTGTCCTTCATATGTAACATGCTTTAGTACATGGATGATTCTTTTTTTATATGAGTTATTTGTAGCTGCCTAATATTTCTTGAAAGAGTGAGCATTTCTTTTGTACCCTCGGAAAGTTTCATGCTAGTGCGAAACGCATTGCTATTGTTCTTTCAGAGCCGGGGCCATCCAGTCTTGGCAGCATGCTCATGCCTGTCCAGGAGACTGCCTGGGAAGAGCTCATCCGCACTGGCCAGATGACACCTTTTGGTACCCAGATCCCTCAGAAACAGGAGAAAAAGCCCAGAAAAATCATGCTTAATGAAGCATCAGGCTTCGAAAAGTATTTGGCAGATCAAGCAAAACTGTCTTTTGAAAGGAAGAAGCAAGGTTGTAATAAAAGAGCAGCTAGAAAAGCTCCAGCCCCAGTCACGCCTCCAGCCCCAGTGCAAAATAAAAACAAACCAAACAAGAAAGCCAGAGTTCTGTCCAAAAAAGAGGAGCGTTTGAAAAAGCACATCAAGAAACTCCAGAAGAGGGCTTTGCAGTTCCAGGGGAAAGTGGGATTGCCAAAGGCAAGGAGACCTTGGGAGTCAGACATGAGGCCAGAGGCAGAGGGAGACTCTGAGGGTGAAGAGTCTGAGTATTTCCCCACAGAGGAGGAGGAAGAGGAGGAAGATGACGAGGTGGAGGGGGCAGAGGCGGACCTGTCTGGAGATGGTACTGACTATGAGCTGAAGCCTCTGCCCAAGGGCGGGAAACGGCAGAAGAAAGTGCCAGTGCAGGAGATTGATGATGACTTTTTCCCAAGTTCTGGGGAAGAAGCTGAAGCTGCTTCTGTAGGAGAAGGAGGAGGAGGAGGTCGGAAAGTGGGAAGATACCGAGATGATGGAGATGAAGATTATTATAAGCAGCGGTTAAGGTCGGTCTGTGGGGATTATAAATACATTGTACTGTTTGCTTTATCTTAGGTGACAGGTTTATTAATATGTAAGCATTCTAGATCCAGCTTAATATATTAGACCCCCCCGATTATACAGAGGTTGGATTTCTGCAGCCTTAACCTGCTAGAAGCAGTGGGGCCCCTGAGTCCTTAATGATGCTGGCCCCAAATGCATGTACTTCTAGGTCTTTAGTTGGATTTGGAGGCAAGTCTAAGATGAAAAACTTAAGGGAAGGCTGGGGCAAGAGGCATACAGAGGGCTGAGTGTGAGCTGTGTCGCCTTTATACCGACAGTCACCCTAGAATGAGTATCAGGAAAAAGAAAAGGGTGAATTAATGCATACTGGATAGGGGTTTCTGTTTTCCCTTTTGAAGCAGGAAAGTAATTTTAGAGAACTTTTCTTCAAAAAAGAGCTGAAACTTAAGCTTTGGCATAGAAAGAATAAGCTTGCTTTTGTAAATCCTTCCTTTGTCTTGAGAAAATAGTCATCTGCATAATTATAAGCCACCATCATGCAAAAAGTGTACTTTGTATGCACAGCATACCTTTCTTTTCACTGTTGTTTTTTATGTTAGAGACTGACTTTGGCTTTTAGCTCCATGACATTGTCATTGTATAAAGCAAGCACCATAAAAGGGAAGGTGAACATGTGAAACATGAAGTCTGAATTGCATATTGCCACACGTTTTCTGAGAGCCAGGAAAAATAATCTGTATTGCAGGCCTCCCCATGGTGGCCCACTGAACACTGTGCTACTGCCGCGCATTTCAAGTCTCCTTGACTTAGAGCTCACTTAGCTCTAAGGAAGTCAAAGGGAAAAAGGAACCTTATTACTTTTAAAATACTTGATAGTGGGATGGCTTTTTCCCAATCCTCAACAGTTTTTTCTTATTTCTCAAGGTGAAGAGACCTAGTTTGTTGTATTTATTGGCCTTTGTGAGTGAAGGTTGACCTGGTGTTTTTTCTTGTTACTTAGAACTGCTCATTAACCCCCGTCCAGACACTACAGACATTCCATAACCTTTCCGAAATAGATGTGTCAATTCTTTTAAACAGTAATTTGAGGACCTGTGACTTAAATCCTGTTCTTTAGAGTTGCGGCACTCACATTCTAGTAGCACCTTATGTAGTAATGCACAGATGAGGGCTGGCTTATATTTGTCATCCCTCAGCACAGCTTTCGTTTCTGTGCACGTTTATTACCTGTGAAGTTGTTTGAGGAATGTTGCCCAGTACTCTTGAACAGTGAGCGGTGTCAGACTTTTTCTTAACTACTGCAAGGAATTAATAAAAGTGTTAATCTCAACATATTGATTATAAATGGAGCAATATATATTTTTCCAATTAAATTGGGTCAATATTAAATATGTTTAAAATATATCAGTATTTTGATCAAGAGCAATTTATTTTGATTGAATTTTAAATGTGGGTTTAGTTAATTTGATGGCAATAAGTTTTTCTTAATAATGTTAAGATTGTAAAACAATTTATTATTTCCAGAGCCAATATTTTGCTAAAGCTACAGTGAAATCTCAAATGAATTTCAGAAATATCAATAACTCTTAATTGCCACCAAAATACGATAGCTCTTAACATTTTATAGCTACAGTTATTAAGGCTGTTAAACTGCAGATATCCACATTGAAATATTTGTTATTACATCTCCTTTGGTGCTGTTTGGTTTGGGGGATGAAAGAAAATAAAATGCTCAGGATTGAGAAGCATATTAGAACTGCCAGTCTCTCTATATTTTGTTACTCATTGCTGATCTTTGTAGACTAATTGAAATGGTAATGCTATTCCCTTGAGAAACAGAAAGACCTTTAGGGTTGCTTGTCTTAGCAGTGGTTTGACGATGGATGATTAGAATAAAGTCATAGAGTTTACAACATAGAAAATTAGTTTTTTTTTAGTGGTTAGAATTTAGGAGTAGTTCCCAGGGTAGGCACCCTTTGCTGAACTTAACACCTTTTACTGAGGGTATAGCCTGTTAATTATAATGCTCTTTTCAACTCTAGGAAGTGAGAGTGGGTGACTTCTGGATATCTCATCCTCTTTATTCTCTCAGCTTGAGAGCCATCGGCCTTTCACTGGCACTAGGTTCACCCTAACTAGGTGCCTTTGTTTTAGCTGATACTTACTAGGAATTTTCCGTCAAGCCCTTTCCATAGCTTTTTTAATGGAACTGGGCAGTCGCCCTTTGGATCCTGCTTTCCTTCATTTGGCTCAAGCCCTCAGCTCAGTCTTTGAAGTTTTAACCATTTTTCAAACCGTGTATTCCCCCTTCTCATGTGTTTCTCCTGCCTCCTCCTCTGCACTGAACTGTATCTGGAGGCTGACTCCTCAGTGGGTTCCCTGGTTTTCATACCCTTTCATGTCATACAGGATGGATGAGCCACTGCTTAGAAGTAAATGTTCTGTCGGTTCTATGGTCAGTGGTATACAGGTCTTGTAAAACATACATTATTTTTTCATTTTACTTTGTGCTACCACGGTTTCCATTTGCTTATGGCTGTTGGTTGTGAGGTCTAGTGCTTTCTTAAAATATACTACTGCTTTGCACATTGTGGGCCTGGGAGCTCCGGGTGCCAAATAAAGATTAGGACTAACACACCTTCAGTGTTTGAGTGATGTGGGTTCCCGGTGAGCACCTACATGCTGCTTACCTAGTACAGGCTGTGCAGCCAAGACAGCCCTGTGTGGCCCAGAAGACCAAACATTTCATGTGAACCTTTCCCCTTCAGGGTGATAAAGATCAGGTCGCTTGTCCCCAGTCCTTGTTACCTCCATGTTATTGATTCACTTCCCAGTTGCCATATTCGAGGTAAGCCTCCATAGCTTTATCTTTGCTTTCATGTCAACAATGCATGTCTGCATCCTTGGACTGGCTTCAAGGGTTTCTGGCAAAAAATTTGCAGTCTGTTAATAGACTTGGGCACAAATAGGACCTAACCAAGTGTGAAGGGAATAATGAATTCAGACTGAGGCATTTGGGAGAGACTGTTGGGGAAGTTCATCCAGTGCAGGGCCTTGTCTTGTTGGGTGGCTCAGATATATTAATATGACCCTTATCCAAATTAACAATGTTACGCATTTGCCCCTAAACTCCAGGTGCATCATTGAGAAGGGAAGGAATTTGCTTTGCTTTGGAGGCACATTATTTCCTCAGGGTTCTCATTTGGATTGCCTTGGAGGTTGGTGTGATGCCACAATGTGCAGAGAGGCTGAGGACAGGGAGGGCAGGTGGGCTTCACTTTCCAGCCAGCTCTGATTTCTGGGGAGTGGTAGTCTATTCAGGGGGCTCCGAGGCCCTGTTTGGGTGGATTGGGAAGAGTGTGCAGTTCCTTAGTGATGTCTATCATAGGCACAGTGGGGAACTAGCAACATTCATGCTAGGTATTTGCCAGCCTTGACATAATAAAACAGATGTCACTGACTCCTGCCTCTTTGTCCAGCAGTGGTCAGCACTGCTTGGTCAGGCTGCAGGGCATAGATGGGTTGCATCCTGAGTGAGAAAATGCATTTCCAGATATGTTTTTGTCTCTTCTTGCTGGCAGGACTAGGGTTAGTGTTTATCATTTGACTTAAACTCATTCCCCCAAGTTCTTACTCTATTTTCATGTATCGGCAGTTACTATTTAAGTTGCTGCCCTCGCAGACTACAGTGAGGGCAACGAGCACAGACGAGAGCAAAGCTTCCCCACCCACAGACTGATTATGCAGTGTCACTGGGAGCCCCTAACACTGGAGACGCTGACTTAGGAAGTGTAGCGTGGGGTCACCGGGCAGGACTTTTAAAAAATGTTCCCAGATGGCTCTGATCACTGTCAGGTTTGGGAGCTAGGGATGGAAATAAGTCAGTCTTATGTATTTCTCTTTTTTGGGGCTGCAGCTTTTGGCTGATGCAGTTTGTATATCAGTTTCTCAAAAATCCTCTTTTATGTGCCCTGCACAGTTGTATGTACACAGGGGAGGGCCTGGCAGGGAGCCTTAGCTAAATGCTGTATGTCATAGATCATCTGGTTCTTGTGGGGTGTGTGTGTCAGAATCACATGGGAAACACCTTCAGAGGGTAGGGGCCTGGGCTCAGCGTGGGGAGTCTGAGGCAGCAGGTGCAGAGTGGGAGGAGCTGGGCACTGCACTTGTGCTTTGGCTGAGCTCCCGCTGACTCTGAGGGGAGCTTGGTGACATTCTTCATGGTCCACAGGACCTTGCTCAGAAAGAACTATGTTCTCATTTAGGAGAGCTTTGAGGCAGTTGGGAAGCATTGTTGGTAAGGATGTTGAGGCTTGAGAATGTAATGCTTTTTTCTTTACTATGGCCCACACTCAGCAAATAATTGCCTCTGGGATAAATCCCCGACCCATGCCCACCCCGATCAGGGAAACATAGTGGGGAGTTCAGAAACGGACTCTTCAGTAGGCGGTGCCTGAGTCTCCTCAGATGACCTGGTGCATTGGGCTAAGCTGCTAAATGCATAGCCTGAAGTGGATTTGAGTTGGTTCCTCTGCATGGTTTGAAGGCTCCCTCGCCACCTTTCAGCACTTCTGATGAGTCCCTATTTTTATTGTAAAAGTATGACAACAATATTAAGATGAAAAAATGACCTCTTTTATGTTTTTATTTTCTACATGTCATTCCAGTCTTTGGTTCTGTGAATACACATCTTTACATGGTTATAATCACGGCCCCTCCAGTTAATTGGCTTGCCCACAGTTTTACTGTGAAGTAGAGCTGAGATTTGAAGTCGGCTGGGCCCTCTACATACATGTTTCCTTCCCTTTGTGGGATTGAGTAGAAGGTGCAATATTTAGGTATGACCACAGGGTGGTGCCAAAAATCAACACATAGCTGCCCCCACCTCCATTGGACTGAAAACCAAACCAAAAACCTAAGCCTGTAATCTGGGAATTTGGATGAGGATATAGGGAGATGGCTCAGGAGTCTAGAAGACCTGGCAAGTATGGTGTGGATGGGGACAGAATTTACTTCATGGTCTGGTGTAACCTGAATCTGTAGACTTGATGCCTGTTGATATAATTGGTTTTTAATAAATTTTTGATCCTAAAGGTTTTTCTTGTGCCCTATTTTTTACCTTTTTTACATGAGTAACTCTGAGATGTAAAGGGGTGATAAAGATTCCATTCATTGTGTAAGTCTTACAGAATGTCTTCTAATAGTCTGTGAGACATAATCTCCTGCGAAGATAATACTCTTCATTGTCCTTCCCCTGAGCACTGGGCCTCTGTGGCCAGGGCCCCATTGAACCCTGGCTTGGGAGGGTTGGGTTGTGCACATCCACTGTTCTGAGGAGGGAGCTGTCAGCATTTCAGATGCTAGGGGTCAAGCCAAGTAGAATGACTGTTATGAAGAGAGTCTTGTGGATTTGGAACGTTGCAGCCTTTAGGGCCTGAGCAAAGGTGGCATCAAGTGGAGGTGGGGGCAGGGGCGGGAGTGGTGCACAAGAACAATGATGGCTGACATGTTTGAATGCGTACGACTTAGTGGTTCTTGTGGTTCTTCTTGTTATATAGGTTAATTCGTTTAATCCTTACAGCCACCCAGGAGATAGGACTTTGAGCCCAGAGAGATGAAGTCATTTGCTCAAGGCAGCAGTCAGTGGAAGGGCTTGGAGAAGGAGAAGGGGTCTGAAGGTGGTGTGGGACACATGAGAGTGATCTCGCAGCTTGGTTTGCTGCAGCAGACTCGGACAAGCATTGTTTCAGTGCCTGGTTTCTCCCTCCACTTGATGGGGGCCAACTCCAACCCAATGTCCCATTCCTATCCTGAAATGCTTCTAAAGGCAGTGCCCTGAGAACCACCAACCTCACAGCCTGTCTCCATTTTATTGTCTTCTGGGAACTTCTCCCTTCTGTCTAGCACCTGTTTGCACTGGGATTGTCCTGTCTGTCCTTCAGTTGGATCCTGGTTTGCACCCGATGAGGATTTAGCAATTTTAGGCTGTGCTTCGGCAAAGGCCAACTCACAATGTGGAGGTTGATTTGATTGTGCCTTTTTTTTAAAGCCCAAATTAAAGAGAAAAAACAAAACTCTCCCAAAATCTGAATTTAGTAAAAGTTTGAGATTTTATCCAGAAACCTAAATACAATTATTTTAAGAATGTTCTTAACATCTCTGAGAGTTCATTTTTCTCAAGAAATAAGCCTGGCCGGGCACAATGGCTCATACCTGTAATCCCAGCACTTTAGGAGGCCAAGGCAGGAGGATTGCTTGAGCTCAAGAGTTCGAGACCAGCCTGGGCAACATGGTGAAACCCCAAAAATAGAAAAAGTTAGCTGGGTGTGGTGATGTGCGCCTGTAGTCCCAGCTACCCAGGAGGCTGAGGTGGGTGGATCACTGGAGCCTGAGAGAAAAAAAAAAAAGAAAGAAGACTGTGTTCATTTTCTTTTAGGAATCTATAAGTTGAAAGAAAAAGTTACACTTTTAAAACCTATTTATGCCTAGTGTTCCATTATTGGAACGCTAAGCATGTGGGAGTTATTCATGCCCTACTGCTCAAGGTCATTGCCAAGGTCTGATTTTTCACACATGTCTGCCTCCTGAGGGTACATGTTATCACTTGGTGCACAGAGTTAGTTACTGCTACAGATACTGGCATGCTGGGAGCTTGTCAAAAAGTGATGTGAGTTTTCAGAAACATTTTTGAGTATCCAAAGACAGGTACATATAACTTTACTGCACTACATCCTATACTAGTAATTTTTAAGAAATAACTTCTCTACTAGTTATGCTATTGTGCGGTAAAAAGAAAATACAGAAAGTATTATTATTGCATTAGTTATGGGTTTGACATTTTTCATGTTCCATTTTTGGAACACTAGGCAAAACCACTACCACTAGGACTAATAATACCTTTTTTCCGTTTTAGTCCCAAGATGCCTCGAACACTAAGTTTACATGAAATAACTGACCTTTTAGAGACAGATGACAGCATAGAAGCAAGTGCTATAGTGATACAACCACCTGAAAATGCTACAGCACCTGTTTCTGATGAGGAATCAGGAGATGAAGAAGGTGGAACAATAAATAATCTGCCAGGTTCTTTGTTGCACACAGCTGCGTATCTTATTCAAGATGGCTCTGATGCTGAGTCTGACTCAGATGATCCCTCATACGCACCTAAAGATGACTCTCCTGATGAAGTTCCATCTACGTTTACTGTGCAGCAACCTCCACCATCAAGGAGGAGGAAAATGACAAAAATTCTTTGCAAATGGAAAAAAGCCGACCTAACTGTACAACCCGTAGCAGGTAGAGTTACAGCACCACCAAACGATTTCTTCACCGTAATGAGAACTCCCACAGAAATTCTTGAACTTTTTCTTGATGACGAGGTCATTGAACTCATTGTCAAGTACTCCAACTTATATGCTTGCAGTAAAGGTGTACATCTTGGCTTGACTAGCTCTGAATTCAAATGTTTTCTGGGAATTATTTTTCTGAGTGGTTATGTCTCAGTTCCTAGAAGGCGTATGTTTTGGGAACAAAGAACAGATGTGCATAATGTACTGGTTAGTGCTGCCATGAGACGTGACCGGTTTGAAACTATATTTTCTAATTTGCATGTTGCTGACAATGCAAATTTGGATCCAGTGGACAAATTTTCCAAATTGCGACCTCTCATAAGCAAACTTAATGAGAGATGCATGAAATTTGTTCCAAATGAAACATATTTCAGCTTTGATGAATTCATGGTTCCTTATTTTGGTCGTCACGGGTGCAAACAATTTATTCGGGGAAAGCCCATTCGGTTTGGCTATAAGTTTTGGTGTGGTGCCACCTGTCTGGGCTACATTTGCTGGTTTCAGCCGTATCAGGGTAAAAACCCAAATACTAAACATGAGGAATATGGTGTCGGTGCGTCACTTGTCCTTCAGTTTAGTGAGGCACTTACAGAGGCACACCCTGGACAATACCATTTTGTATTCAATAACTTTTTCACCAGTATTGCACTTCTTGATAAGCTCAGTTCAATGGGACATCAGGCAACAGGTACAGTGAGAAAGGATCACATTGACAGAGTTCCACTGGAATCAGATGTAGCTTTAAAGAAAAAAGAAAGAGGCACATTTGATTATCGAATTGATGGCAAAGGCAATATTGTCTGCAGATGGAATGATAACAGTGTTGTCACTGTTGCCTCATCTGGTGCTGGTATCCATCCCCTGTGTCTTGTCAGTCGTTACTCCCAGAAACTGAAAAAGAAGATACAAGTTCAGCAGCCAAACATGATCAAAGTGTATAACCAGTTCATGGGAGGCGTAGACAGAGCTGATGAAAACATTGATAAGTATCGGGCATCAATCCGTGGAAAGAAATGGTATTCAAGCCCTCTTTTGTTCTGTTTCGAACTGGTCTTACAAAATGCTTGGCAATTGCATAAAACATATGATGAGAAACCAGTGGATTTTCTGGAGTTTCGTCGACGTGTGGTATGCCATTATCTGGAGACCCATGGTCATCCTCCAGAACCTGGCCAAAAAGGAAGACCTCAGAAGCGTAACATTGACTCACGTTATGATGGCATAAATCATGTGATAGTCAAACAGGGAAAGCAAACGCGATGCGCTGAATGTCATAAGAACACAACTTTTCGATGTGAAAAATGTGATGTTGCCTTACATGTGAAGTGTTCCGTTGAATATCACACTGAATAGCAGGTGTCACCACCTCCTGAGATAAGAAACATAGTTTTATACATTATGTACAGTGTAGCAGTGGTTTTGCCTAGTGTTCCAATTTTGGAACGTCACATAACAATGGAACATAATAAATTTTTTTTTCTCTTCAAATTTTTGTTCCTTGAATTTTTCTAGGTAACATATATGAATTTCATGCAAAAATTCAAAAAATTGTAACCTCAGACATAAATGGGTTAAAGATGTTTTCTTAGAGAGCACATTGCCTTCTTTTAAATAACAAAGCTGAGACACAAATGAAGACTAATTCTGCTTCCTGCTCTGCACACACCTTTCATTCTTGGCTCTGGGCATAATTGTCTATATCAGTCTTAATTTACTCCATGAGATCTGCACTCCTAACTGAGGGTATTTCATCTGCTCAGATTTGCCAATTAAGTTTACCCAGATAGACCATAAAAAGGAAGATAAGAAAAGTAAAACACCAAGTATCTCAATTTAGCAAATTAGACTAATCTGTAAGGCATTCTTAGCTGTCTGAAATAGAAAACCTATCATACTACAGAATGCAAACTATATTAAATACCCAGCTTGGTGCCTGAATATATTTTTAAAAATCAAATTGTACTCATTGTGCCTCTGTTGTTGAATTTCTTAAATGGATATTGCAATAGGTAGAGAATGATCTTGAGGTTGAAATGTCACTCTGTATTAAGAATGATTTAACTGTATGATACACAGCTTTTTCCTTACAGACGGTGTAGATTTAAACTGCTCTGTGTACAATGATCCTTGCAACATAAAAATATTACAATAGAGCAGTAAGGTCTGTTTTGAATTTTGAGCACCACGGTAGGTGACCTCCTTGAAGTTTTGGAGAGGGCATGTTTATTTTATTAATATGATCTCAGGCAACTAATATTTGATAATTCCCATTAATATGTGTATTTTGTCCCTTTTGTGTGTTGGTATGGGCAGTTGTGTACATTGATTTGTCTAGTATAAAATGTGTATTACATGATTGTTCAGCCTATATTATGTATAGTTCAAAGAACTGCTAAACTGATTTTACTGTTACTTGGAAAAGTTTGCAGGGGTGTAGTGAAGAGTGAGTTTTGACTTACTTTGCACACTATTAAGGTGGGGAAGGAATCATGTTATTGTACAAAAATGAAGGCAATCTTTCCCTTCTTTAAACCTTAGTCCTGATGTTTTTTTAAGACAACATTTGGATTGAAGTTTTAGAATTTGGTTTGTTCTTGTGCAATTGCTTTCGTTCTGTGGCAGTTAGAGGACCCTTCGCTGGCACTGTGAGAAAAGGGGTGGTACTAGGGAGTTTGGAAAATACTTTTTTGAAGACAGTATTATGTAACAGATAGGAATATAGACTCTGGAACTTGATTATCTGGGTTTGAATCTTTTCCCTTAACTCATTGGTAATCTTGGACAGCTTCCTTTCTTTCTCCCTGTCTGCTTTAATTGTTAAAAAAAAAAGAGAGAGAGAGAGAATAACAATAGTATTGATATGGTTTGGCTTTCTGTCCCCACCCAAATCTCATCTTGAATTGTAGTCCCCATATGTCAAGGGAGGAACCTGATGGGAAGTGATTGGATTATGGGGGCGGTTTCCCCCATGCTGTTCTCACGATAGTTAGTTTTCATGAGAGCTTATGGTTTTAAAAGTGGAAGTTTTTCCTGTGCTTGCACTCACTTCCTCCTGCCGCCTTGTGAAGAAGGTGCCCTTCACCTTCCACCATGATTATAAGTTTCCTGAGGCCTCCCAGCCGTGCCGAATTGTGAGTCAATTAAACCTCTTTCCTTATAAATTACCCAGTCTCGGGTATTTCTTTATAGCAGTGAAAATGGACTCATACAATATAGTATCTCCCTTATTAGGTTGTAAAGATTAAATGAATTAATAAATGTGAAATACTTAAAATAGTGCCCAGTACCCAGTATCACTGTCAGTCATAATTACTATTTGTTTTCTGACCCAATTAAGAAATATGTATGTATGTGTGTATATGTAATCTCAAAACAAAACTTGTCCAGAGCTAGCTGACTTTCCTTAAGGAGGCAGTATATAGCATAGGGGTTAGACACCACGGGCCATGGAGTGAGTGCCAGAGCCTAGCCGAGTAGCTCTGAGGTCTTGTGTATCCACTCACCTGTAAGATGGGGATCACAGCAGTACCTTCTTCATGGGTGATGATATGTATAAGATATTTGGCATACATCAGGCACTCCGTAAGTATTAGCTATTCTTGTTACATGCCCACTAGCTAAAAGTTACCACAAAGATTCCACCAAGGCAGTAAGATGCTTGAAATGAGGGTCTGTGAGAACCGTGAAGGAGGGTGTATAATGAATACTCATACGTATGAAAAGGTGACCTTTCACAAGTAAAGGCAGTTTAACAATTGATATTACAGGTTGACCATCCCTAGTCCGAAAATCCAAAATCTGAAAATTTTTTAGCAACGTGATGCCACAAGTGGAAAATTCCATATTTGACCTCATATGTTGGGTCTCAGTCAAGACACAGTCAAAACTTCGTTTCATGCACAAAATATTGTATAAAATTACCTTCAGCCTATGTGTATAAGTTATATATGAAACATAAATGAATTCGTATTTAGTCTTGGGTCCCATCCCAACATATCTCATTGTGTATATGCAAATATTCCAAAATCCAAAACACTTCTTGTCCCAAGCATTTTGGATAAGGGCTGTTCAACGTATCATAGGCATAGTAAAATCATTAGCTGTTACAAACTTTGTTTTATTGATGTTATGCTTTTGGTACCTTTCATACTTTTTTAAAATAAGCTTAAGGCCCACTTAATGATAAAATATCTATAAAAATATAAGTACAGTATCAATATTGGGAAGAAATGTAATTATTTCTCCTTTGAACACACTAGGGGGCACTAGACATCTGTCTAGGGGACAAACCGTGCAACATGCCCCTTGGTTCTAAGTGTAGGTAGGTCAGGATTGCAGTATGGTTTCTCACAGTTGTATTCTGAGGTAGATGTACCAGATCCTTCTCTTGTATCTCTTTTGTGTCTTCTCTTTTGGCTTGATTTCCAGCCTCCTTGCTGTCCTGGATGATAGGATGTCCTGACTGGAATGTCCTGCTGATCTTGACTGACCAGTATGGAGTGAGCTAGCATGACAGTCTGCTATGCTTGGGGGTTGAACTGAGCTCCTGCTGGCTCAAGACTGCAATAGGTGTTTTGACATTTGTTATTTTTTATTCACATTTAACCTGCAATTAATTAAAATTTCTCAATCTTTTTGTGTAATCTGCCAACTGTTATAGCATCTGAAATTTATGTAGTTTCAAAAGTATAATGT
Organism: Homo sapiens; assembly: GCF_000001405.40. NCBI lineage: Eukaryota > Metazoa > Chordata > Mammalia > Primates > Hominidae > Homo > Homo sapiens. The sequence continues at coordinate 49,511,990 of NC_000010.11, read as the reverse complement.
ACATACATAATTTCATTTAGTCCTCATAAAAAGTCATTATTTGGCTCATTTTGTGGTGGAGGAGGCAGATTCAACAATGTTACATTATATTTTCTAAAGTTCAGGCCTCCCCTTACCAGTTAAATGCCTGTAATGCACCTCTTTTGCCTACATTCGGTTTTCACTTCTCTGTGGTTATCTTAAATCTGTGTCTGTTGTTGGGTTCTCTTCTAGTGACCACCACTGGAGCCTGAGACGGGCTTTAGGAGTTAGAAAATGCCCTGATGGGTCGGGAATGGTGGCTCACGCCTGCAATCCTAGCACTTTGGAAGGCAAGGCAGGCAGATCACTTGAGGTCAGTAGTCTGAGACCAGCTTGGCCAATATGGCAAAACCCCATCTACACCAAAAAATACAAAACTTAGCCGGACATGGTGGCGCATGCCTGTAGTCCTAGCTATTCTGGAGGCTGAGGCACAAGGATTGCTTGAATCTGGAAAGTGGAGGTTGCAGTGAGCTGAGATCGTGCCACTGTACTCCAGCTGACGTGACAGAGTGAGACTTTGTCTCAAAAAAAAAAAAAAAGTAAAAAAGAAGATGAACAACACACTTACTTTATTTGGGTGCAGCTGTGACTTTTACATGTATAGATTAAAGAAAAAAATGAAAGTGGGAACATCAAAAACACTATTTCCTTCCTAGTAATGTAAATATAGTTTAAGTCTAGACTTTTTTCCCATCATAAGAATTCTTTCATAAGAAGGTGCTTCTTTTGTCCAGCCTTTCCCACCTGGTCCTGGGGAAGCTTGGGAGCAAACTCAGGGCTCCTGGTTCTTTCCATCAGCTGGCGTGCAGAAACCAGGCTCCTTACAGAGGAGACCTACTGGTGATGAACCCAAAAAATGGAGCTCAGACTTAAATCACTCACACAATTTTTATTTATTTACCTTTTTATTGTTCAAAATGATGAGCTTTCCTTCTCCTTATCTTTTTTTTTTTTTGTTATAAGATTCTAAATTAAGAACTTCTCTGATGTTGCAGCCACCCTCATTATGGGTCATTTTTTTGTAGCGAACCTTAACCATTTTTATCCAGTGGACAGAGCTAGGAGCAGTGCTTTAAAGTCATATGGGTAGAAGGAGTAGGAAATGCAGCAAGAGGTAGGCTCTAAATGAGACAGAACAGAAAGTTTCCAGAACCCATTTCTGGATGACCCCATTTGACCATTTTCAAGTCACGCTTCTCTGTCTGTGTCTTCCTTTTCCCTAACCGAATTATGAACTTCATTCATTCATTCAGCACTTAACGGTCTGCCATGAGGAGGCATTATACCAGTCTCTAGTGCTATAAAAATGGCTAAGACAGTGTTTGTCCCCAGGTGGCTTCCAGTCCAGTGGAGGACACTGGTATGGATTTCACAATATGCTACACTTGATGGGCACTGTAGTAGAGATCCCAGGTGTGTCCAAGATGTCACGGGATTGGGAGGGCCCTTGGAAGACAGGACACCTAAGTCTGGCTGGTCATGGGAGGTTTCTGTGCATGGTGGTGCTGCATGAGTGAGGGTTTGAAAGGTCTGCTGAATGTGTGGATATGTAAGGGGAAGGATTTGGGGACAGTACAGGAATGCAGGTGCACAGAGATGAGGAGGCTGCATACATGGTATGGCACGGTGGTAGCTAGCTGTGTCTTTCCACTTATTTATTTTGAACATCCTTGGAATGCTGAAAATTCTTCTAAAATAAATTAACTTTAAATGGCAGCAACTAGCTTTCAGGGTTCCATTGATGCGGCACCCTAATAGGTTACAACTGGGGGAAGCATTGTTCCTGGTGTCGTTCAACTGGTTGTGCTGGGTCTGAGTTGCTTCTGACAGATGATTATTGCAGTCTCAGCCCCAGGCCCCACAGCCTGGGCCAGATTCTCATTCCTACCTGAATGTAGGGAAACCAGGGAGTGTTTTCTCTGTCTGCATCTGACTGGAATTGTAGGTTTATGTTTGTTCCCAGCTTCTCTTGTAATTGGCTGCCAGTGGAGTTGACAGCAGGCTGAATCTGGCAGTTGTGTGAGGAGCTAGAAACACAGCCAGTGAACACCATGCCCACCACTTCGTTTTATGTGGCTGCAGCTGTGACTATTACGTGTGTGGATTTTTTAAAATGAGAGAATAGAGAACATGAAAAAGTTATTTGTTTTCTAAAAGGGTAAATATTGGACTATTTACTGCCCCCTTCTGCTTTTTCTCAGTTAACTGGTCTACTTTTTGAAATAACAGAATTTAGACATTTTGAGGTCATTTCTAATTTTTAAGATTTCAGCTCACTTGGCCCAGATTTTAATTCTTACCCACTCCCTACCAATTTTAAGTCAATCTGTATCTATTTTTGTTACTATCATGTAAAAGACTGCCATACTTAATGACAGTTTACTATTTACAAATTTGTGACAGAATTTTTAAATTGAGATATTCCAGCAGGTACCATCTGAAGACTAGGTATCTTTACTCCTATGGTGAGCACATTATTCATAATAATTAACTGAGCATCCATTTGATGAGCTATCATAGTTTCTGTTTAAGTATACATGTTCAGGTAGTTCTGTTAAACAGAGTACGTTGCAATATGCACATTGCATTGGGCCACATACGTAACTTGCTTTCTCTTCTTTCAGTGAACATAGTAATAGTATCTGCTGCAGGGTTGTCGTGAGGATTTCAGAAAATGTATGTGGTTTTATATAATACTATAGTAGTTTATTAAGCACTTCCTAATCTAGGTTCTGTGCTAAGGTGCTTTATATGTGACACCTTATTTAATCCTTCCCAGAACCCAGTGAAGTAGGTGCTGCTGTTCTCCCCATCTCAGTGGAGGAAACTTAGATGCTGATGAAGTTAAGTTACTTGCTGAGGGTTCATGAGCTAGTAAATGGCACCAGGATTTGACTATAGCTAGTCTGAGCTCAGACTTTTGTGCCTGGGCCTGCACTTCTGCATATGTCAAACCCAGGATGTTTATATACAGAATCCTTTATATCTGCTGGCCAGACAGACTACTCAGCCTGCCAGACTACAGTACAGGCTGGTTAGACATGTTAAAGAGAGCCCTTAAAGTCTCTTGGCAGCGTCTGGGATGAGGAAGGCACGTTTCTGTGTATGTGCAGATGAACCTGGTTCTCCCCCTTTCCCTAGTGTGTTGTGGTGTACTTGTCGGCCCCATCTTTAGCTGTGCTGCTTCAGTGGACCCTCATCAGATGGTCAGGTCTATTTTGGCTACAAGTCACATGAGGAAGTATTGCTTATGTAACAGAAGAATCTCTTCGCCTGAGCTCTGTATGCATGTGGTTTTATAACCATGATATTTTCTGTCTTTAATATGTGTATAATTCTACTGGGGCAATTTGTCTTCACAATGATACAAATACTTGCAGGCAATAATGATTTTCCCCACCACTTTTAGTCATCCTTTAGCCAAACTGAATAAATGTTTGGCCCTTTTCATCTTTCTTTATGAAGCGGAAGGCACTAGAATGCAATCGTTTCTGTAGTGGCTTATGTGGTTTCCTAGGTGCTGAGTTCTGTGGCGACAAGATGCCTGTATATTTTAGGAGGGAGGGAGGAGGAGGAAACTGAATCTTGTCGATGCAGAGTGATGTGGTGGGAAATTTAGCAGCCACAAAGATTGACTGGCTAAGTCTAAGGAAATGGTCATCATATATCAATAAAGTTTAAAAAGTGATACCCTGTATATAAAATATTTAATGGCCTTGTGCCAAACTTCAAAAGGCAATATATTCTGGTGTTTTTATTTCTCCTTCTGTAAAATTATCTTGGAGAAATTGCAAAGTGAAGTATGTTTAAGTGGCTGTGATTCTTCCAAGGTTTATGTTATCCACAAGTTTGCTAAATACAAGTATCCTTTGTTATGCAGAAGTTTGGCTCTGCGTTCATAGTTTTGATACCGAGGACTCTCTCATTATGTAAACTCCTCGACTGCTGAATTTCAGAGTGAGTAGCAAGAATTCAGATATGTGTATCAGGAAAGTGTATATATATCAAGAATTCAGATATGTGTATCAGGAAAGTGTATATATATCTGTTCAGTTTCTAAGTTTTGATAGTAAGGGATACCTATATGCCAGGGCTTCTTGGCTTTGACATTATTGACATTTGAGACTTGATAACTTTTTACCGAGGGGTTTGGGGGCTGTCCTGTGTGGTGTAGGATGTTTAGCAGCATACCTGGACTCACCTGCAAGATGCCAGTAGTAGTATATCCTCCCGACTCCTTCCACAGTTCTAACAACCAAGAATATCTCTGGGCATTGTCAGATTACCCCAGGGTGGGGTTGAAGGGACAGAATTGCCCCCTGTCAAGAACGATTGTTGTACACCATTGCATTTAACTAAATTTGTAAATAACATGAAACCCAGAAGACTTTTATAGCCACCTAGAGATAATTCATTTTGTCCATTGCATGGAGATAATTTTTAAGGAAAAAAAATACCAGTGGAGAAGAAGAGATTGCCTTTAGAAGTTAAGCACAAAAAGGACATTAAATTTTTTTATAAAAAGTATCACTTATTAAACTGTTGTTAGATGATAGCTATTTCCTTAGACTTGGCCATATACTGCCTCTTCCATTTGCTGTTCTTCTCTGGAAATGACCAACAGTGCTTCATTGATCTTATTTATAGGTCCTTTACTACCGTGTAGTGCAATTTCAGATAACCAGTTCTTGTTGATCACAAGTAAATTTCAGCTAGCCCTTCCTTTTGTTACCTTGAAGAGTTGAAATTTTCAACAAGGCAAGAGTTTATCAGAGGATGTGCTTTAAGGTCCACCAGTAGCTACCTACATACTAGCATTGGGCTCTGTGTGGTTTTGTAATGGATACTGGACAACACACCATACCTTTGGCCAGGCAGCATGTGTAGTATTACCCTTTCATTTTCTCTTGCCTTCCCTCGGACATTCTCTCTTACTCTTGCATAGTCAGTGGCAGATAAATGCCTTATATGTGTTGCTGCTCTTACTCGCTTCCTATGAGTTTTTTTTTTATTGTAGTTTGAAAGCATTTCTCTGTATTATTGTTTTATTCCATTTCCACCATTTTGTGAAATTCAGAGCATCAGTTGCACCATGCTGAATGAAAACATCATCTTTTTATTTTGAAAGTGAATAGAATTTGAGGCTTTTTTTTTTTCCCCACTCACGACAACTAGAGTCCATTATAGTTATGTAAATGCAAAATTAGTCTGGTTAAATGGGTGCACCTTCTCCACAACCTTGGTGTATTGCTAAGACTTTCAGATATTTAGATGAAATATATTTCCTTCTGAAATATAAGTGTTCACCTTATTTTATATCTGAAAGTATCATATTACTAAATTTGTAACTTAGATTTTATTCAGTGAACACATTTTTTTGAGTGGTAGCACTATCAGTGCTTGTATATTGCTGATGCCTCTTCCCCCAGTTAAGTAATCAGTAATGTGAACCTGATTCAGTGATTTTGACCCCAAATTTGCTTTATGTTTAAGGGGCTTTGTTGTTTTATGCTGTGACTATCATATCTTTAGAACAGAAATAGTAATTATAAATCTATTTTTTGTTACATAGTATTGCGGTTGTGAAGACACTCAATTATATTGAAATTTTTACTGAATCTTTTCTAGGACTAATTTCATGTCTTACGAACCAGCAGAGAAATTTTCCCTTAGGGTATGCCAGAAGAGGAGCAAGTAGTTTTGATAATGAAATGAGACCTTAAAGAAATATTTCTAGAGCAGCTATAATAATTTACATAAGAAATGAATTGAGATGGCTGGAGAAGAGAATTGTTTTTCCTCTTTGAATATCAGTGTTTTGGGTAATAATGGCAGCATTAACCTAAGAGACCGTTCTAATTTGCCTGTTTTTTCTTGTACATTATCAGGAGCTATCTTTTTAAATCTGTCTTGTGATCAAAATAATGGAAATGTGATTTTTATTTTCATGGTAGGAGATGGAATAAACTGAGACTGCAGGACAAAGAGAAACGTCTGAAGCTGGAGGACGATTCTGAGGAAAGTGATGCTGAATTTGACGAAGGTTTTAAAGTGCCAGGTTTTCTGTTCAAAAAGCTTTTTAAGTATGTACCATATGTTCTTTCCTTTCTATTTGCTATCAAGCCATTATGTACAAATTAACATTTTAGGAATTACATAGTAGTTACCTGTGGGCCCTGAAGGTACTTGCAGCAATTTGTTGCAAAAACAGATACTGTCAAATGAAATTATAGCCACGTGCTGTTCATTAAAATTGGATGATAATAAGTTGACTAAAATGTGCATTGGGTATGTTTGTAAACTGATGAATCTATATGGACCTGCCTCAGCAGACTAAAAGCAACACATTTAAAAGCCATTTATGTTGAATAATTTTTTTGTTCTTAGTAATTTTAAGGTGCCAAACTCCTAATTTCTTAAATAAGATTAATAGGAAGAGTTGCATATTAAAATCAATATTGGGAAGGATTTTTTTTCTTCTATGTGGAAATAAAAAACTTTTGACATTTTTTTTGAGTGTCTTATATTGTACCTGAGGGTATAATATTTTTGAGCTGACCAAATGTGCATCTAAATATTTTATGTAGGATGTCATTCTAATGTCAAAAGAGAAGATATGGGCAACACCTTGATGATTAAGTTGCTATTTGAAGCCAGGTTTCATGTGTAAGTGGCCAAGCATTGGAGATGACCGGATGCTGCCTGATAGATGTGTTCATGTTGTCTCTAAGGGCTGGCCAGTCTCCCGTGATGAATGTAAATACTGAGGAACATTTTCAGTCTCGTCACTCCTGGGATTTACTTAACAAGATACTTTAGGAAGGCTTCTTAGATGCATATAGGAAGTTAAACCATTACATAGCTTCTTTCTGTCTCTTTTGTATAATCAATTTGTAGTTGGGAGCAGGATGCAAAGTTCTTTGTTCGAGATGATTAAGTTTGGTCTCCTTTATAGATTCAGCTGTCAGCCATGCCCTAAACTTGTGGAAGAAGTCTACTTAAAAACAGCATGCTCTTTATATTTTCTCTCAAAGAGCTTATATTATAGTTTTAATTTTTCTCTCCATTGGGGTAGGGGAGAGTGAAGAGTAGTTTTTTTATCCCACTAAACATTATAGAAAGCCAAACTCTAAAGATGTGAAGTGACTTGATGTGATTGCTTTAACTGGACAGAGGAACAGCCGTGTAGAAGTTGAAATCTGAATCTGTAGTAATATTTACAGAGGTGGTTGCTTTGTTTATTGCTTCTCCCAAATGAGAATTAACTATGGAAAGGTAAATAAAGGCCACTTTTATTGGCAACTCTTTTTGTTTTCTCTACAGTGATTCTTTGTTAAGAAACAAGCCAAATACCATCAGTGTTGTACTAGCAAAAGGAATACCCAAATTATAGATTAAATTGATTTAAAAAAGACAGGATACTTCTGTGTATTTGTAGTAAGTGATTTGGCAGATATCCTCAAGGATCAAGTTGAGTCTGCATTTTTGTATAAATGTCAGATTTTCTAGCAAAGATATTTCACAATTAATAGTACTAAACTTTGCTTACTAAAAGTATTTAGGATTCAGTGTATTAACAAAACTCTATAGTAGTTAATATAAATAATATTCGTTTTTTAAAAATTAGTCTTAATTGCACATTCCTGGAAAGTATTGTGTTTTTTTAATCTCTGCAAAAACAGGATTTTAAATATTTTATGTCATAAAACTTCTGTTCATTTTCTTTTGCTGTATGAAAAAAATTAATAGGATTGATAGAGTCTCCATTTTTCTTTTATGATTGCGTTTTAGCGGGGCCAATTTAATTTTAAACTGTAGATATATTTTTTTACTGTATTTGCTGCATTCTGTGGAATTGAATTGACAGGGTATAGAGTTGTACACAAGGGAGTCAGAAGGTACAATTAGCCATTTAAGTACATTTTCTGCAAGATAGTGTTTAACTTTTAAATTTCTGTTTTGAAAGTTTGCCCAGCAAGTATATTTGTCTATCTAATTTAGCAGTCAAATGACAAACTTCAATCTTTTGACCTTATTTTCAGCCACACTAGTAAATGCAATCTTGGGTTAGTGTGGCAATGCCAATGTACACCAATTATTTGTGGTCACATTGTGATGCCTCAGTCTCAAGGGATAGCAGAATAAATTTTTTTATGTTGTATATTCATAAAAATCTTTAACTGTCCCTAAAGAGTAATTTTTATATGCTTTTCAAAAATTTTGAAAACTAGATTCTATAATATGTTTTTATTTAAACTATGTAATTGGTTTACACTGTTTATTATTAGGAAGGTAAAGCAATAAAACCAAAGTCAGTTAGTGGCACAGCTGAAACCTGAGCTCAGGCCCTTATATTCCTCATCTAGCAACACCAGCTATGTATATCATCTACCAGCTGTGTGGCTAGTGCTTTTAATCTGCAAGTGAATTTCCTTTAAATACCATCTGAGGGCCTTCGTGTATTGTGTGGAAAGAAAGAGCCACTCTTTGCTATCTTTGTAACTATCCCTAGTTTTTGGGGATCCTGCTAGAGATATGACTTACATGCTGCCTAGTAAGATTTTTTTTAATGTCATTTTCTTAGTGCTGTTCATCTTCTTGTAAACACACTCACATGCTGTTTGAAAGCCGTCGAAGATTAGATTTGTAGATGAGGAAACACCCAGCACATTGTATGCTGCCTTTCCTGGGCCACACAGAATCTAGTTGTCTTAACCCCCTCTCAGGTTCCTTTTGGGATCCTATGCTGTTTACCATTTCTTTAATAATTTCTCAACTGCTCCTTTCCGCACTCTCCCTACTTTAGTTAAGTTGATGAGCCCCAAGCAAAAAGAGTTGTTGGACCCATGTAGGATGGAGGCAGTGTGGTGTAGGAGTAATACACTAGAATAATCACTGGGAGATTTTGTTCCCCGACTGGAGGAGCTGGTCCAGTTGTTCTGTATCTCAGCAAAAAGAGGTCAACTGACTAGAATGTAGTGATTCTGGAAACTAATTGCACATCAGTTTTTTTGGAGAGCTTTTTGCAGTGTGTCTTTTTCAAAAGTTGAGATTATTCTAGTGTAGCCAGTTCATGAACCAGCTTTTGTTCTAAATGAGGGTTTCTCGACCTTGACACAATTGACACTTAGGGCTAAATAATTTGTTGCTGTGGGGACTGTCCTGTGCAGTATCAGATATTGAACAGCTTCTCTGGCCTCTACTATTGCACTTCTCTGGTTGTAACAAAAATGTCTTTAGACATTGCCAAATGTCCCATAGGGAGAAGAATTACCCCTGGCTGAGAACTATTGGTCTAGATCATTTCCAGAATCACTTTGGAAACATACAGTTCTGGATTTCAGCTCTGGCTTGCTCATTTTTTTCTAGCGATGTCACCTTTGGCAAGTTACCTAACCATTCTGAGCTTTTGTTTCCTAATTATAAAGTGTGCTGATAATCTCCTTTGTGCAAGTTGATTGTGAGGCTGTGTCCAAACCACCTGGCCTGGTGCCTCCTCAGCAGTTGGTTCCTTAAGTGGTAGCCATTATTCTCTGATTACATACCACATATTTTCGGAATTTGTCCTTCTTCCCAAATTAAATGATCTTGTATCTGTACTACACTTCATCGTGTTTTGATTTTTAGTTCTTTTCTCCAAGGTGCATATCCAGTGTGTGTATTATAATTAGCAAACTTAATAAGCAGCAAAGTTCTCATTTAGAGTTTTCCTTATGTAATAGGTAATAATGGAACAGCTAGAGTCAAACTTCTAGAATTGCTTTGCAAAATACTGGGAGAAAGTTAATTATGACGTATTTACTGAGAGGAGATTAAATAAAACCAGTTAAATGAGCTGAAGTCCAAAATGAGATTTTAGGTAGACATACCTATAGGTACCAGATAGTAAGTATTTGGACAGCAAAACAACAAAACTATCTTCTTTTAAGGTGGGTAGCCCATCAGCCTTGATATTTTCTTTGAAAAAAAAATGCCTTATCTTGCATCATCTTTTTATTTATTTATTAGAGATGGGGTCTCACTCTGTTGCCCAGTTTGGAATCCGGTGGTGCAATCATGGTTCATTGCAGCCTCAACCTCCATGGCTCAAGCAATCCTCTCACCTTAGCCTCCCAAGTAGCTAGGACTACAGGCACGTGCCACCACTCCTGGCTAAATTTTTTTTTTTTTTCTTGTAGAGATGAGGTCTTACTATGTTGCCCATGCTGGTCTTGAACTCCTGGGCTTAAATGATCCTCCTGCCTCGGCTTCCCAAAGTGCTGGGATTTACAGGCATGAGCCACCTCATCTAACCTATCATCTTTTAATTCAAGTGGTTTTTGCTTTAGATTTTGTAACTTGGGATATAATCTTCATACCATTCCCTGTTGTTAAGTGTTTCTTCCACTCTCCGAAAATTTTTTTGTATTTTTCCTTTTTTAACTTTATTTTTAGGTTATAGATTAAACATATCATTGATGGAGAAAGAAAAATATCAACTTCTGTTTTTTGCAGGGGGAGGGGTTAAGGTTAAATTATTTCTCTTTGACCCATATTCCTTATTTAAAATCTTAATAGCTATGATCTTTTCGTACCTTTGGTAAACTCCCTGAATCAATTTCTGCTTTGAAATATTAAAAAGACCTTTTGTATTGTTGAGTCTTTAAACTGTGCTTTTTTTTGCATCTGCTAGTAATATGACAGAATCATCTGTTATGTTCTAATTTTGAGAGCAGACCTATTATTCAGACTTGTTTATGGCCTTAAAATTTAATTTTTTCTATTAAAAGATAATATGATCACCAAGTGACTTTTCAACAGTATAAGCTATAGGTTGTGGTGTTCTCTGTCCTGCTTTTTTGATGCTATTCAGATTGAAAAAATAAACATTAGTGCCCCTTTTTTATAGAAAAATTAATGGAACTTTATATATGAAAAATATTTGGGATTTTTTCCCCCAGAAAGTGAGTAAAAAATAGTAAGTTTATGCTTGTTTAGCAAGCTATTTCTAATGTTGAAAAGAAAGGAAATAGTCTCTAATTACCCCATCTATCAGTTTAATTAGAAATGTGTTAATGTTTTGTAAAGAAAAATTTGTGATTTTTATGCCTAGGTGATCAAAAATGTATGACCTTATAAATATAATACTCATGTAAAACACACATCCCGCATGTTTCTCTGACTGGTACTAGAACCTAGCCAAATGATTAATTCATGAGTACTTTCTGTTATGATCTGTATTATCCACCATTTGCCATTTTCTCTTTTCTTGTTGGTGTTTGTTGTCATAGGTACCAGCAGACAGGTGTTAGGTGGCTGTGGGAATTGCACTGCCAGCAGGCAGGAGGAATTCTGGGAGATGAAATGGGATTGGGCAAGACCATCCAGATAATTGCCTTCTTGGCAGGTCTGAGCTACAGCAAGATCAGGACTCGTGGTTCAAATTACAGGCAAGTGCTCCTCTGCAGACTGTCAGTCTGTGGAGCTCAATTAATATTTCATCAGATGTATTGCTGTGGAGGAGGGTCTTGTGAATTATTGATGACATTTCAATTACAATATTCCTTTAATTCTTTTAGTGGGGGACATCAAAGGAAAAATTTTACGAGACAATGGAGCTGTAGGGCAGGAGAAATTAAACATGTAACACTTTTAATGAATTCCAGGCATTGATGCTTCATTTTGCAGATGAGCCCCACTAGATATTTTGGGTCAATACGATGTCTAAGGTTAGCTTCTACAAAGGGATTGTTTACAAACTCAATTATGTTAATATCAATAGTTTACACAATATGGAATTTTAAATTAGACATAATACCTTTAGTTCCATTTATTAAATTTTACATTAAAATATTTGTTCTGGCAGGAGACCAGGTGAGCATTACAGTAAGTACAAAGTCTATTCATGGGGAGAGTTGGAGCTTTGAAGAAGCCATTCTCCCTAATTTCCTTTATAATGAGTGTGCATGATAGCATTTCTAGATAGCTTGCTCTCTCTCTTGTTTTTGAATGAAGTTACTTGTCTGATCCCTGTGTTTTCTGCCCTTCCCAATCTATGAACTTTATGTAATAAATTCTAATGCCAAAACGTAAGTGACTACCTAAAATGGTAGAAAACTATGTTTAGATGTTAATCTTTATTCTCTTTAGAAATTTAAATAAACTATTAAGGCTTTTGTATTCCAGAAGAATAAGCATTTAATCTATTTGATATGGTAGGACTGAAATACTTTATTTTGAAAGAAAGTACTATGAGCACTTCCATATTTAAACTGTAAATTGACTCTGTAGAAATCAGTATTGGTAAAAATATTGGTCGGTAAATTATGTAGGATATTTCATCATACTGAACCCAGATAAGTCCGAGCTCCTTGTGTTTCAGTAGGCTTATATAAAGAGTAAGAGCAAGGTAGTTGCTAGAGGGGTGTGCCCAGGAAACCTCAGACACTCCCTATATATGATTTGGAGATAACCTTTACAGTAGTGTCAGTGTGCCTGAAGTCAGCAACTGCCGAAAGTTCTTCCTACTCTCCAGCTCATCAGCAGCGAAATGCTTAGTAGAGAGCCAAATATGAACCATAAACTGAGTCAAGATCATGTTTCTTTAGTCTCCAGAGTTTAGTGTTTTATTTCTTACTCTTTCGTTAAGTTAGCAGATCAATACTTCTGTGAGGAGTGTTTGGAGTTTTAGAATATTTTAGAACGCCAGTTGCATTTATATAGATGTAGGAAGGGGAAGAAAACACTTGGAGATTTTTAAATGCTAAACATCGTGTTGTTGTTGTTACAAGGAAGTTATATTGAAGCAGGGGATTTTTTCAAAGATGAGAATTCTATTACATTTTGCTTGGAAGCATGTGAAAACATTCCAGACCAAAGGAAAAGTTGAAGTTCCAAGTGGGCATTTAGTGTGGTCTTATCTATGACTGTTAATTTTTTTAATATGCTTTTTCTGTTTCAAATAAAATGCTTTTTCTGTTTCAAATAAGCTCTTTGGTTGGCTTGTTTTCTGCAACTCTGTTGGGTGTTTTTGGTAACTAGACAACCCCAAACTCCTCCAAATGGTTTCTAGGACTCTTTCTTTCCTTAAATGGTTTCTGGGATTTTCTTATTTCCCATTTCATTTCTTTTCTTTGCTTCCCTTCCTATTATCATCACACTTATGTGGAGTCCAGTGCTCAGGTCCTAGGAGAACTAAAGTCATCCCTGCAGTGTAGTTTTGATCTAAAAATTAAAACATGCTCTCTTGGGTGGTGACAATCCTACTAAGAATGAAGTCAAGGCTAATAATGAACAGCAGCTGTAATCAATTAACTATCAATGCTCATATCCTCTTCTCTATAATGAAATAATGTGGCATATTGGACTACATCCCAGATTGTCTTTATTAAGATGGTATTGGTGGAAGTGGCTTGTGAGAATGTGGTGCTGCACCACAAACACCTGGGCTCCTCATGAGTGGAAGTTTACAGAGGAGTGTGGTCCCCCCCGCTCATATGTACCAGGGCGGACTGGACCACATCTTCCTAACAACTTTATAACACATCCTCCTCTGGAACCAGATGAACTTGGGAGTTCTCTATACTTATGTCTTACAGAAAAATAGCTCTTAAGGTCAAATGAAGTTCTGTGTGAGCTGTTATTGCCTCATTGGCTATGTATATTTCCTGTGAACTCTTACAAACTGTAGAGGGGCCCTAATTTGAGATGATTTTGGTGTTGTAATTTTAAGGACCATGAACATTGAAATGGGAACAGTGTCTCTGTGATACCAAGAAACTTCATGGTAAAAGAAGTTTGATTTGTTATTTTTTAAAAAATGTGTGTTGTATGTGTGTTTCTAGAAGACAGAGAAACATATTGCTTATGGTTAATAAACATCTGTACTGGTTGCTGTGTTCCCCTTCATAATGGATACACCACCTTCTTTTCACTTTGCCATTCATATTATAATGATAGGCCCCTCAATCTTATAATGAAAAGGAAATAAATTGACTTTCAAACTCAGTTAATTTTTTAAAGTCTTGGATATCATTTGGTAATTCCTAATGTTATTGAATTTAATAAACTTTCAAGGATAAATATTTTACTTTGTAGTTCCTGGTAAGTTCTGGGTATGACTAGCAGATTTCCATCCTGCAGGTTGATATATTTGACCATGGAGCTATTGGCTTTCCCTAAATTTATTAGGTAATCAATGGTAATCAAAGATTAAAGGAATTGTAGTCTGTTTGGTAATTGATGCTAATCACTGTAGTACACTTAGCCATTACTCATGTTCATCTCACTGGTATTAAGAGTTAGGAAAGGGTGGTTCAGTTGACGATGTGACTGTTAATGGAGTTGATTGTCCTGCTGTGGTCCAGCAACAGTCTAGGTCTGCTCCTAGATCTCAACTCAGCGTGAAAATCTCCAATTTTTTCTACTAAGGGGGAAAATGGCAGAAATTAAAGGGCATCTTGATAATGCCAGATAGATGTTCAGCCAGAAGAATATACTAGCCTTAGATAACAAAATGTGAGTCATCAATGTAGCAGTTTGCAGAAGGCACATTATAAAAGAGAAAAAAATACTGTATAACCTGAAAAAACATATGCATGTGTTTATGCTTATTTGAATGTGAGTTTGTTGTAAAAATATTTTAGACAGCTTTTGATTGGTTGTTTCCTAATCCCTGCTAAGTGCATATTGATGATAACTCTTTTATTCCCCTTGGAGGATAGAAAGAAGCTGGTGCATTTAATCCTTTTAGAAAGGCTTGCTGCCATGGAAGGGGCCAGGCAGAGTCCCACTCTCCTTGGGGAGCTCAAGGGGCACCTGGACAGGCCCTGCCTTGGTGAGGAGCATGGCTTAGAAACTCTGTAGGAAGAGTGTCGGAGTCTCTTGTAGCCTCTGGCTTCTTGTAGTCTGGCCCTTTCCACCCAGTTGAAGGGCAGGGACAGTGACTGTAGCTGGAGGCAGGGAGGGTTTCAAAGTGGACATAGGTTATTTTGTTACGTTGGAGTATAAGGGTAGGCCTCATTTAAGTTAGGGCTTTACCAAAATTTCATTGTTTTTCTATAGAACTACAAATTATTTTTCAGTTGTGTAGTAGATGATTTTTAATATTTCAAGCATTGTATGATTTACTCTTCAGTTATTTGTAAAAATTGTATTTTGTTTGTTTGTTTGTTTGTTCTGAGACAGAGTCTCGCTCTTGTCGCCCAGGCTGGAGTGCAGTGGCACAATCTCAGCTCACTGCAACCTCCGCCTCCCGGGTTCAAGTGATTCTCCTGCCTCAGCCTCCCAAGTAGCTGGGATTACAGACACTCACCACCATACCCGGCTAATTTTTATAGTTTAGGTAGAGACGGGGTTTCACCATGTTGGCCAGGCTGGTCTCAAACTCCTGACTTCAGGTGATCCACCCGCCTCGGCCTCCCAAAGTGTTGGGATTATAGGTGTGAGCCACTGTACCCGGCCAAAAATTGTTTTAAGTTCAGGAATAATTTATTTCTGAGCTCTAGTAAGAAAACAAAAATCACTTATGATTCCCCAACTCTGAAATAATCTCTTTTAGCATGTTGATATATTTTCTTCCAATCTTAAAAAATGTTTTAATTTAATAAAGCCAGCATTCATTAATTGCTTGCTATTAGGTAGGCATTGAGATCATTTGAAGAAGAGATTATCTCTGCTCTCACAGAGTTTAGGGAGGATCTCATACAATTACAGTAAAGGTGATTTGTGTTTTGTCAGGGTTAATGTGGAGTGCACTAAGGAAGAGTCGTTAACTTGTTTACAGAGAAAGGGACAGGGAAGGCTTTGTCGAGGAAGCTAGAGATCTGAATGTTGAGTAGAAGGTAGCTGGAGGGGTAAGAGGGTAACCAGGACATGGTGAAGGTCGATTGGAGGAAGGGAAGACGGTTCAGGCTGGTGGGCTGCTAGCCACAGGAGCAAGTGGTAGGATAATGGCAGTGAGAGGTAAGGCAGGAGAGATGAGCAGAGGTCAGTCTTCGTGGCCTCGTAGGCCACGTCCAGGTGTTTAATCTCTGTCGCAAGAGCAGTGGGCAGTCATTAGAGGCTTTGAAGTGAGAGGATGAGGAATTCAAATTTTACTGTTTGAAATAATCATCCTCGGAGATGCAGTAACCCAGATGAGAGAGGAGAGTGGCTGGACCTGGCATAGCAACAGTGTAGACGGAGAGACATGGCGACTGAAAGGATTCAGGAGGTAAAAATGATGTGAACTCAGTGTAGGTTGCTCGTGGTGGAGAGCAAGCAGGTCTGCTCAAGGATGAGGCCTAGGTTTCTGATTTGGGCACCTGGACAGTGGGACAAAATTCTTTCCATTGGTTTGGAAGCACGGGGACAGGGGACAGCCAGGTAGGGGAGGATGGCGTGTGGTGCTTTGGGGATATCGGCAGTGAGATTTCTAGTGTGTGGTGGTTTGGAGTTCAGAAGAGTGATCTGGGCTGGAGACTTAGATTTGGCATTACCAGCATCTAGAATTGAAATTGTGGGAATTAGTGAGATAGAAGGGGTAGTGTATACAGTGGAGTAATGTATGTGCATTTTGCTTCACACAGTCAACATCTTTGTGGGGCAGGAAAAGGGAGTGGAGGAGAGGAATGACAGTGTGCAGAGTGCAGTGACTCTGCTCCAGGTGTGTGAGAGGCAGGCGTGTGGCCCTGTGATGCCCTCAGTCAATCCCAGTTTTTAGTTGCCTCTTGTAGCATGAGCTGAGTGTTGTTGAAGAGGTTGCCACGGTTAGTTTTGACTTCTGCTTAATTTTCTTCTTATGCACTGACTGGCACCCAACTCCCAGCAAGACTGAAGGTTAATGGGCTACAGTAATGGGAGTGCCGCTTGTGGAGATACAAGCTCAAGAGCTTAGCTAAAGGGATTGGTCTCAAACAAGAAAAGGGACACTGTCCCTTTGTCCCAGAAGGGCAGGAGGAGTGCAGATGCAGACAGGGAATACAGTGTAGGACGTATCAGGATATTTGACTGCACCTAAGTGAAACCTGGCCTCAAATTGGGTTAAACATTCACAAATGTATGGTACACCTAGAAACCTACAGAGGGGGAGGCTGTGGACACAGCATGATCAGCAGCTCAATGATGTCTTCAGGGACCCAGATACTTTAATTTTTGCCTAAGGCCAGGTGTCCTTGTAATCATTAGATCTCCTTATCACTGTAACCCAGTGACCATTGGTCTGTACATGTAGCCAGAAAGACCAGGAGAGAAAAGTCTCTCCCAACCCAGAATGTAATTTTTCCTTACAAAGTTGGTCAGTCTTGCCAGGCCAGCTTCATGGACTAGTGAGAGTTTCAGGGGAGTACCATGCACTGACAGGTTATAGATGAGCCAGGATTCCTGCTTCTGAGCCAGGCAGTGGTCAGAGTCCCATAAACTGTGTGTCTGCAGTAAGGAAGAAGGAGGGCACCTGCAGAGATCTGATTCTTCAGGAAAAAGGGAGAGGGGAATGCATGTTGAGACAATGGCCACAACCAGTTTTTCTACGTATACCTATGTCTAAGGAAATTGGGGTGATTCCATAAATAATTTTTAAAAATTATGGTGAACATTTTTCTAGTTTATTAACTTCTTCAAAATGATTTTAATAGTTATATGATATTCCATCTTATTTAACAGAATCTTATAGTATTTTCTATATGGTCCTGTTCTAAGCACTTTACAGATGTTAACTGATTTAATCTTCGTAATAACCCTATAAGATCAATACTGTTATTATTCCCATTTGAAAATGAAAAACTGACGTTCCCAGAGGTTAAATGGTGTGCCCGAGATCATACAATGTGTGCAGAGTTGGATTCAGATCCAGGCAGTGCCTCTAACCACTGGCCCATGCTTTGTTAAAGAAATGGGATAGTTCATTCAGCTTTCCTCTTCTCCATGGACATAGGTAGCACCCACTTTTTCTGCAGTATAAAGAATGCTCCAGTGTGTATCCCAGTGTGTAAATGTTTTTATTGGGATTGCTGGGTCAATGCATGGGTGCTGTTGAGGCTCTTGATTTTGCTGCCGAACTACCTGCCCACACAGCAGTGCCAGCTTGTACACTGTCGGTGTGGGCTTCCCAGGAGAGAACACTCGCTCGGATGCTCCTCCATGGTGCTTTGGTGGTGTAGAGGAGCAGGCAGGGTGGTGTAGTGAGGACAGGCTGCAGTAAGTGAAGACTGGCTGCTAGGCAGCCCTCTGTCCCCTGGTAGCCATGTCACCTGGGCCATGCCAGCCTTATGAGCCCCCATCAGTGGAGCATTTCTGGCCTACTTGCTTCCTAGGGCAGTGAGATTGAAATTCTGTGGCTTGAAAACTCTTGGTAGACTATAAAACTTCAGACAAATTTAAGATTCTATTATGTTCACTTAGGTTAAGATACACTGTATAAAAACTTCACTAATCTGTAGTAGAAGGGAAAAGAGTATTTTTGTTAAATAATATTTGATTATCTTTTATGTTACTATAGATGTTATATCTCTTAATATATTATTAAGTGTTTTCTCTTAACACCTACATCCACTAATTGATGAATGAGATTATGGAGATTTTACTTACTGGGTTTTAACATCAGTAACTTTTTCTTAAAGAAAATATCAATAAATTTCCATAGTTAGCATTGTTTTTTTGAACTAAGTTTTTTGTTTGTTGTTTTGGGGGATCTTTTGAGCAGTTGATGACTGTATATGCTCTTTCATGGTTGTTTTCTTCTTGGACGTTTGGATGCAGGTTTGAGGGGTTGGGTCCAACTGTAATTGTCTGTCCAACAACAGTGATGCATCAGTGGGTGAAGGAATTTCACACGTGGTGGCCTCCGTTCAGAGTGGCAATTCTACATGAAACCGGTTCCTATACCCACAAAAAGGTAACACAATATTTCAGTACCTTTTTGTTTTGTTTTAATGCCCTCCATTTTACATATTTGGTTTTTCTCTGATCCATGTGTTTCTCAAATGTATATTCCTGTGTTTTTTTTCCTGCATTTAAAGTTAATTTATTATTATTGACTTACTTTAGAGCTCTGTGTTTTCAGAACAGTTATGAATATAGGTCTTATTGTTCTAACAGTCTGTGGTGGTGTTGTGACAATGTCTGTTGTCCAGTAAAATACGAATCATCTCAGACAGGGCACAAGCCTGGCAGTGTGGGTTGGAGTCATAAGTCAGGTGGCTGCGTCCAGTAAGGAGAGACTTTGCGCATTAGTGGCTTCAAACAGTTTTAGGAAGGTGGATACAGAAGTAAAATAACAACTCTTAATTGGTAAATGCATTTGTTAGTATGCATTTAACCTTCCATCTTGAGAATTTCGCAAGTATTGTTGCTTTTTAGTTGTGTTTTGTTCCTTGAATCCTTGATCGTCATGTATTGACAGTTGTATTTCTTCACTTAGAGTTTGGTAATATCACAGTATCAAAAAAGAGCTTTATCTGTGCTCCTGTGGGTAGCATAGATACGTTGTATTCTTCCTTTTTTCTTCTCATCTGTCTAACCATCCAGACTGTGAGCTCTGTTGAGTAGGGACTGTGTCTGATTCATTTTTATATCCCGGGTGACCCATAAGCATTTGCTGAATAAATAATAATCACGCAGTTTCACTGTGAATTTGCAGGTTACATTATTGGGGAGAAGCAGCAGTCTCTTAGGAGCTAGTTCTTTCTTTCCTGAGTCTTCTGAGCTCTTGAGTTCGTTCTCGGGGCCCAGGAAAGCAGTGCCGGCTGCAAGGGCTATGGAGTGTTTGCCTCACGGAGTCAGATGCACGGGGACCACGAAACTCCAGGATTCCTGTTGTGTTTGTGTTCATGGAAAAGCAAACTTTTGATAGAAGTGACTCAGAAAAATCTATGGTTTGGTAGCACAAATAAGGCGAGATGGAATTTTGCTTACACTGTTATTGTTAAAACCAACTGACTTTGCCCAGAATTTTAAGTGATAAATGGAAAATAAACTGGATAAGATAATTAATAAATTAGGGTAAATGCTGTGAGTTATAAAAAGTGATTTTTAGCAGTATGAAGATAATAGCAGTATAGATTGTTGTCTAGTCAAACCTTAAATTGTTTGTCAAACCTTAAACTATCCTGTCACTACCCTTGTAAAACATTTGTGGTTCCTTTTTCATTTCTGTTATCTGTTAACATCTCTTAGTGTTTTGTGCTGCAAAATCCTGTGGCAGGACTCATTAGCTGATGTTTGTCTTATAAAGGCAATTTAAAAAAATGTTATTCCTTTCATTTTCTTTTGGGGTAGTAAAGTGTGTGTATTGGACACCTTCACCTGGATCATGGCTTGCCTCCAGTTCCTTTGTCACCATAGTTTGAAGAACTGCCTTCGTGTAAACCACATACATGGACTCATTATGGAAATAGAATTGACAGTAAATTTGGTGAAATTTGTCTCCTTGACTTTGGAGGGCAAACTTCTAAGAAGAGATATTTCACTTTTGGTTGCAGTGGCTTTACCTTCTGAGGTTGTTTTACCTTCACAGACACTTGCATACATATGGTTGTTAATAATTTTTTCAGTGTTTTACAGTTTACCAAGGACTCTAACTTGAAGATTCTTAATTAACTTTTGAGGAAAAACAGCATTACAGTTTCCTTGTGTTTTTACTCAAACTCTTAACTCTTCCTACTGTTCCTTTTCCATTATAAAGTATCTTAGATCACTAAAGATGTAAACTGTTAGGCAAAAGATCAAAAATATGTACTTTTATATGTATCAAACTATATTCTTAACTTAGAAGCCCTATATTTATTACTTTTCATTAATGTTAATATTGGCTTATTTGTGGTGACGACACATTGGAAATGTATTAATAGTTCCTTTCCATAGGCCTTACTATTGACATTTCTAAGATCATAACTTTGGTTTCTGGATTCAACTACTGAAGGGGTATTTGCTTCCTCTGCACCTTCGATCTTCTGTGTATGTGCAGATCTCTGTCACCACACATGCATACCTGCTGGCTTACACGTGTGTTAAATTACAATAGAGTCTATGTTTCTTATTCATATTTCAAAAATTCTGTTTGTGGTGATTCGTCCTCTAACTCAGCGTCTAATGCCTGACTTCCTTATCAGCTGTGATTTCTTTTTACAGTGGATGAGCTTTCTGTGCCCACCAGCTGTTCTGTCTGAATTTAATAATGGTACTCTGACATTGGGACATTCAATACTGGATGTATTAGGAACAGGGAAGAGAAGAGAATTTCTCTTTAGAAATATTTAAAAGAATAATAATGCCAGAATTGTTTTGTTTATCGTTCAAGTAGATTATCTTTATTTTCCAAATGCTTTGTTGTAGCTGGTATGACATAAATTTTGAAAATTGTCCGGGCGTGGTGGCTCATGCCTGTAATCCCAGCACTTTGGGAGGCCGAGGCGGGTGGATCACGAGGTCAGGGGTTTGAGACCAGCCTGGCCAATGTGGTGAAACCCTGTCTGTACTAAAAATACAAAAATTAGCTGGTTGTGGTGGCACACGCCTATAGTCCTAGCTACTCGGGAGGCTGAGGCAGGAGAATCTCTTGAACCCTAGAGGCGGAGGTTGCAGTGAGCCTGGACTGTGCCACTGCACTCTAGCCTGGGCGACAGAGCGAGACTCTGTCTCAAAAAAAAAAAAAAAGGAAAATTTTTCATTTGGAAAAATATCAAATGGTCAATTTCTCAATTAAGCACATCTATCATTCTTCTTCCCCAAGTTGCCCTTTAGCTTCCCACCTCTCTCACCCTTTGATCCTATGTTATCTTTGTTAATAGTCTCTGATTGGCAGCATAATTTAGAATTGTCAAATGTACACCCAGCAGCCATGCAAAAAAATATACAACTGATAGTTTCAACCAAATGATGAAATCTGATAAAGAAATTTTTAGGCTTCTGAATCTCTTTTAATGGTCACTTGAAATCGCATTTAATAAAAGTTCAAGATTTCCTTTTTCTGATTATATTTCGTGATCCTTTTTTCTAATATAGAGCAACTTTCATGTGAGTTGATTAATATTTATTTGTTAAAACAACAATAAACACTGCATTTCAGGTGTTTGATGTTGCTAGGGCTCAAAAAAAATAAAGGATGTTTTTAACTAACCTTAAAAAGCCAACTCTTTCCTTGGGGAAAGAAAATGTAGTAAATGAAGAGATAAAGAAGGCAGTCTTGTGATACCTATCCCATAACTCACAGTAGGTGGTGACATCTTTAGCACTGTCTTGTAAAGTTTATTTAATGATTAAGGATTTTTTTTTCAATTTATTGGAAGATACATAATGATAAATTGCTTATGTTCTGAAACAGTTGTCTCTCTCCTACCTTTTTTTGCTACGTAGTCTCTAGTAGTTCTGTAACATCTTAGGTAATTTAAAGAGTTTTGTTTCGTTTTGATCAATTCATGACATGTAGATGCATAAGAGTGGGAAAAGCAACAAGAGCATGCAGTTTTAAGTGCATTGGTTTTGTGCTTACAAGACCAGGGTTCGAATCTTGGATCTGCTGTTTTATAACTTTGCAAGCTTGGGCGAATCACTTGCCTTCCTGAGCCTGATTTGATCACTTATAAAATGGGTAAATTTTGGTAAACTTGTTAGGACTTTTTGGGTTAATATGTATGTATGAAGAGCTTAGTGTGGTCCCTAATAGGTAACATTTACTCAGGTAATTCTTGCTGTTGTTAGAAACAAAGAATATTTAGGCCTCTTCACCTCAGTAGTTGGGAAAAGAAAAGATGCTGAATGAGGCATTGCTGATTGACTCAGTATGTAGTCTAGAGAGAAGGTACACATCTACTTTATCAAAAATGTTCATGGTCATTCAAGATCATCTAGACCTTTTATTCTCATGTTCAGATACATTTGGCCCCAGATGGAAACAGTGAAGTGCAGGGCGTGGTTAAAAAAGCAAATAATGGCCTGGCACGGTGGCTCACGCCTATAATCCCAGCACTTTGGGAGGCTGAGGCCGGCGGATCATGAGGTCAGAAGATCGAGACCATCCTGGCCACATGGTGAAACCCCGTCTCTACTAAAAATACAAAAAATTAGCCAGGCGTGGTGGCAGGCACCTTGTAGTCCCAGCTACTCGGGAGGCTGAGGCAGGAGAATGGCGTGAACCTGGGAGGCGGAACTTGCAGTGAGCTGAGATCACGCCACTGCACTCCAGTCTGGGCGACAGAGCGAGACTCTGTCTCAAAAAGAAAAAAAGCAAATAACACAAAAACTTGGCCATCCGATGAAACTCCCATCAACATGTTCTTTAAAAGGGCCTGTTTTCTGAAACACTAGAGCAAAAAGACGTGGCTTTAAAAAAAGCTAGAAGGGAGTAAAAAACTTTAAAAAAAAAAAAAAAAGAAAGAGGCCACATTATTCCTTAAGCATCTGAAATATTTCAGACACATTCTGAGTACACAAATTATAATAGAATGCAAAGTGGTATCATTCCTATTAACTTTAGAGTCAGTGTATACACCTTATAGAAGACATGATAGATGCTGGGCTTGTTCTGCGAGGTATGTTGTAAAATTGTGTTGCTGGAGCCCTTTTTTTTCTTATTGTCAGCACAAATCCTTGTTTATTAAAGATTTAGCTTGAAGGAAATTTTAATTAATTACAGGTGCAGTAAATCCTGCCTAGGAAGCGGCTGTACTGTGTTTCCTGTGAATGGCCTTCATGTGCCTGTGCTTCGCTCCTCTCCCCGCCGCCTGACAGTGTGATTTATGGCTGTTGTTTTCCACCAGTCCACTGTTTGCCCTCTAGGAGGGATTGGTCTCTTGAGCCTCCATAATAACAGCAGCCCTTTCACAGACATCTTCTAATGACAACAGCACTGCATTCAGTAAGTCAGGCTAATTGCAGATGTACCCTATTAATTGCAAAAACTAGGAGAGGTTACATATTTTACAAGCTTTTAATTTGAAACCGCCCGAGATGATTTGTCTTAAGTGTTTGGATAGAGCCGTCCATAATATTCAACAATTCACCATTATTGAAACTCCAGTCTAGGCAGCTATAGAATTCTGCGATTGAATCAGGTGATAACAAATAGTCTTAGATGGGGTTTTGCCCAGTGGCTAAGTGGAGATTATATTTTCAACTGGGACATTTTGAACAATTTCTTGTTCTTTTTACATAAGCATCTTTTTAATTCTTGTTAATCATTAATACATCTTCCTGAACACAGGAAGTTTTGTATTTCTATAGCTAACATTTCTATACCTATAATAATATTTAGAATTTTCCAGATAAATTTCAATCCTTAAGCAAGCATAAGAAACTAAACATCATTCCAGTGGTATACATTTGGGAAGCTTGGTGTCTCATTTGGTAACTGTGGGAAAGCTCCAGCTACACTAGGTGATGTCCAGAATTCATTTCGGCTTTGGCTTCTAAAGGTCGCAGGTCTGACCAGGTGAGGTGCTAAAGGTGGATGGTTTTTCTCTGGGCAGACTGCTTTCTTCACTGGCACCAGCAGCTAAGTGGGGCTGGTGGCGAGGGAGTCCTGAGGGAACCCGTACGTGTGTTTTTAAGGCCGTTGTGCACCCCAAGGCGTTTATTGCTGTATTCTTGTGAGGTCAAAAGTCAGGAAATGGGTCTTTCAGATGTGGCCTTCAATATGGTATTGTGCAGGTGTCGAATTTTGTGAATGGGAAGATGGAAGATGAGTAGTCATAATAGTAATAAAAGTATGGCACACACCTGTCAAATTATTAATAGGTCCAGGCATTGTGGTTATTCTCTGCAGCAATTGTATTAACTCTTTGAATGTTACATGAATTACAACATATGAGAAGACAATGTCTCTTTATTTTGTTCCTTCAGATTTTCTTAGCCTTTCTTGTACCCTTTTATACTCTGTTGAATTAAAACACATTTTAATCCTAGTTCTTTAAGAAGATATAAAATTACCATTTTTTGAAGATGTTGAATTTTATAAAATTTGTATTAGATGATTGTGATTACATGAATTATATTAGGCTTCCTGATAGCTATTCTTGTATTCCTGTGATAAGCCTTTAGTAGGTTAATATATTACTAGGTTTTATCTGTAAAGTAGTGGATCTCTAGTTTAGAGGCGTGTATGCACACTCATAAGTGTGCTGTGTCAGTTTTGAAAACAGGGTTTGCTAGCCTTGTAACAATGATTGGAATCCATTCTTTTTCTATATTTTGGAACAATTTCAGTAATAGGATCTAGTCCTACTTTACTCATAAAACCCCTTTGGGTCTGGTAGACTTTTGGTGAGAAGAGTATAACATCTTTTTCACATTGTTCAGTATTGGTTTGTTCTGTTGGTCTGATTTTTCTTGGGTCCATTTTTGCAACGAACTTTTTAGCTATCATATCTGTCAAAATGTTCAGATTTTGTAGCATGTATATTGGTTAACACTTTTGTATTCTCTACATCTGTAATTGTGTTCCTTTGACATTTCTGATGCTGTACATCTCAGTCTGTTATTTTGGCTCACTTTTCAGAGGTTTGTTTGGTTTAGTCTTTCCAAAGAGTTATTATTATTTTGCTTTATCAATTCTACCAGTTTTTTTAATACCCACTAATTTTTATCTTACTAATTCTCTCATTTTCCTTTTTTGGGAGGCTAAGTTGACTGCTCTCTTTGATTTCAGCTTTTCTTAATAGAGTGTTTGTAAAGAATGAATATTCTTTGTATAGTCTAAAGTGCTGCTGATCACTGTTGAAAGGAGGTCTGATGGTGATACTCAAATCCTTTGCATCCTCTTTGTAAATGTTTTATTTTCTTTGATCTGACTTTCTCTCAGAGAGGCTGTGGTCAGCTCTCTGGGTAGGCTGTGGATGTGTCATTTTGACAGCTCTAAGGGCCCTGCTTTTGTGTTTATTGCTGTGCGTTTTGGTAGGTAAAGGTTCATGGTTCTTTTTTCTTATTGTGGCATCCCCATTAAAATATAAAATATCCCTCTTTCTGTTCACTCCTTTTTGTTTCATATTTACATTGCTAAGCCTGCCCTTTTTTGGTTGGCATTTCTTTGATATATCTTTGATAATTCCCATATTACAACTTTCAGTGCCAGTCTGGTTTGGGTCTCTTTTAAACAGAAGGCTAGGTTTTTGCCTTACCCAGTGGAATGTCTCCCTGTTAATAACTCACTGTCTTGTGGTGGGTTACTAGGTTTAGTTTGAAACCTGGTATTTTGTTTTCTGTTTTATATTGTCCTGATTTTTGCTATTTTCTATTATTTTCCTCTGTAATGGTTTGATAGTTCTACATTCTATTTTCTAGTTTTTAGGTGGAAGTAGCAACTGTTACTCAGTAATCAGCATAAAGTTTTGGCAAATGTATTTTAACATATTTTTCTCACATAGTTAAGAATTAAATATCTATTGCCTGTGTACCTTTCTACCATTGGACAGGGTGGAATTTTTAGTTCACTTTTATTTTCCCTTAATCTCAATCCAGCTTTTATGAAACTGAACAGGAATTACAGTAACATTTAAAAATATATACCTTTTAATATTTTAGATCCCCTCTTAACAGTTTCATTCATATTTAAGTGTTTAATATTTAGGCTTTGTTGTTATGCTTTAATGATTTATTTTAAATGGTATGTATATCACATACAATCTTCTTTTTAAACTTTTTCTTTTATATTTTAGTAGGAGGTAGTGTAGCCTAGTGTCAATAGTACTAGCTTTGGATTTGGCTGCCTTTCTCCGTTCGAATTCTGACTCCACCACTTAGCAGCTGCGTGACCTGGTACATTAGTTACCATTTCCAAGCCCCAGTTCCCTCATCTGTAAAATGGGGTTAGTGATGGCCCCTCTGTCCTTCCTTGGGGAGCTGCTGTGAGCATGGTCTGTGGTGAGAATGTGGTGCAGGAGCATTGCTGTCTTTCCTTCTTCAGGGCATGGCATTTGTGCATGCCTTCCTCTTTGTCCACGACTGCACCACTCCACTGTCTGGGTGCAGTGCACTGTAGTTAGCCAATCTCTTGGTGACTGATCTTCCAAGTCCTTGCCTATCTGAAGCTGGAATTTGTTTATTTTATTCATCAAGCATGACTGCTAGTTTGGATTGATGTAGAATCCATGGTCACCACTTTTCCTTCTTAGAATTACGTAAAGATTTTCCTCTTTGCCTTCGGACATTTTTAGTGTTGCAGAAAAGATGTCTGATGCAGGTAGTCTTTTTCCTCTGAAGGGAATATTTTCTTTTTCTGTTTTGTTCTGACTAGAATCTATGACATTTTCTCCTTATTTTTAAAAACATTTTTCTCTTTTGAGTCAGGATCTTGCGCCGTTGTCTAGCCTGGAATGCAGTGGTGAGATTATAGCTCACTGTAGACTCTAACTCCTGAGCTCAAGGGATCTTCTTGCCTGAGCCTGCTAAGTAGCTGGCACTGCAGCTGTGCACCACCATGCAGTGCTAATTTTTTTATTTTTTGTAGAGACAGGGTCTTGCTTTGTTGTTCAGGCTAGTCTTGAACTCCTGGCCTCAAGCGATTCTCCTCCCTCAGCCTCCCAAAGTGCTGAGATTACAGACATAAGCCACTTTGCCTGGCTGTTTTTATTTATTTTTGGAATTCAGACATCTAGTAAGATATGTCTACAGATGCGTCTTTTTCTTAGTGTCTCTGCCTGACACTCTGGGAGATGTTTTGTTCTGTAGATTCAAATCTCGGCTCCATTTATGGTGATTGTTTTCTAACATTTTCTTTTTTTTTTTTTCTTTTTTTTTTTTTGAGGCAGAGTCTGACTGTCACCCAGGCTGGAGTGTAGTGGTGCCATCACTGCTCACTGTAGCCTTGACCTCCTGGGCTCAAGGGATCCTCCCACCTCAGCCTCCTGAGTAGATGGGACTACAGGTGCTTGGCACCACATCCAGCTAACTTTTAAAATTTTTTTTTAGAGATAGGCTTTCACCATGTTGCGTAGGCTGGTCTCGAACTCCTGGGCTCAAGCAATCCACCCACCTCAGCCTCCCAAAGTGCTGGGATTACAGTTGTGAGCCACTGTACCCGGCTTTTTTTCTATCATTTTAAAATCATTGCTTTTATATCCTTTTCACTCTGTCCTGGAATTCTTGTTATACATTGTTAGAGATCCTAGATTTGTCTGCCTTGTCTCTTTGGATTTTCTCTTATTTTCTTGCTTTTGTTTTAAATTAATATATTTTCCATCCACATTGTTGTTTTGACAAGAATGGACACAAAGGATGTTTTGAAAAAATAAAAATAATAATTTAATATATGTATATATTTATAAATATATGTATTATAACTTTGTCATCTTTTTGAGAGTCTCCTTCCCCTAATAACGGCTGTATTAGTCAGCGTTTACTACTTGCCAGGTTAACAAGTACACTTCCAGTGCTGATAATGTCTGTGATTGTGCATGTTATGTTTGTATTTGTGCATTTTTATAAAGTACTTTAGATTGTGTCATGATTGAAAGGGTGTCACTTCTTATTTAAAACTGACTTTACCATTTTATTGTGGTCTCAGGAGAAACTAATTCGAGATGTTGCTCATTGTCATGGAATTTTGATCACATCTTACTCCTACATTCGATTGATGCAGGATGACATTAGCAGGTATGACTGGCACTATGTGATCTTGGACGAAGGACACAAAATTCGAAATCCAAATGCTGCTGTCACCCTTGCTTGCAAACAGGTATGACCTCTTTTAACAAGGGAGATTTCCAAGTGGAGAAGAATAATTAATTCAGAATAAACTATCTGCTTTTAGTAACACATTTATTGAATCTTTCCTTGTGCCAACTGCACAAGAAATTTAAAATGTGCATTTTCCTTAATGCAGAAAACTCTTTATTTTTGCCCTTAATCATGTCTTTAATTCTGATTGTTCATGTTATTTAATGTCTCTTGTAGGGGCCAGTTGTTAGAATGTAACCAAACCCAACTCTAATCTATAGTATTCAGCTTCAACAATAAGAAAAAATTCTTTCTCATTTTTTCATCTAAATGTAATTAAGGATTTGTAATTGCATAAAATGTGTATGTTTTGGAGAGTACCAAAATGATGCAAGAATGATGAGTAAATGTGTAAATAATTTGCAGAGGAGCGTTTTAGGGTAGGAATGGCGATTGCTAAAAGGTAAATTTAATAAAAAGGTGCTTCCTTTCCTCAAATAGTTTCGCACCCCTCATCGGATCATTCTGTCTGGCTCACCGATGCAAAATAACCTCCGAGAGCTGTGGTCGCTCTTTGACTTCATCTTCCCGGGAAAGTTAGGCACGTTGCCTGTGTTTATGGAGCAGTTCTCCGTCCCCATCACCATGGGGGGATATTCAAATGCTTCCCCAGTACAGGTAAAATATTAGGATGATAATACTTTTGGCATTTTAATATTTAAAGTGCTCCTATTAAATACTATAATTTGTAGCCAAGTCATTCAGAATGTGAGAAAGATGGCCAGGCTCATAAATTGGTATCTGGTTAAAAAAAAAAAAAAAAAATCACAAAATTATCTTTGCTTGATCATATTTTTTCACTTAAAACATCATGAAAACTATTCACAGAGAGGAAAGCCCTAGAATAAAATATCTCCTTGTTTAATGGAAATTAAACAGTTTTGGCATTGTTCCTGGGATGTTTAAAAAGATGTCACATGTGGTCAGAAGAGCAGTTAGAAATTATGAAACAAGGACAAATCAGTTTGGAACAGCATGTAATTTAGTCCTGCAAACTGGGGTAGTGCATCTTATAAAGTAGTGGAGAAACTTAGAAAAGGGGACACTAGGAGGATTGGACTGTTCAGGGATGATTTAATGAGACATGCCCCTTAACCTGATTCTGGGAATGTAGGCCATGGAGAGTGAGGGCATTCTTGATTAGGGCAACAGTGTGGATGCAGCCACCATATGTGGCAGGGCGCAGTGAAGAGACCCACTTGACTGGATTGGAGATGCTTGTGGGGGCATAGCTAAAAAGCTGTGGATGCTAGAACTGTGGGGCCTTGAAAGGGAAGCAGTGGCACTCAGGGAGGGCTGGGTTACTGAAAGTGTCTGAGCAGGACTCTGGAGGATGCTGGTTCTCAGGGGTTCCTCAGGCTACAGGGTAGTCACAAGAGGGAGGCTGGCACTGAGTGACCTGCAGGAACCACTGGGGTGAGGGCCATGAGGACCTGGACCTGATCTTGGGTGGTGGTCTGAGAAAGATGGTGGGGCAGGAGACGCAGGTGGCATTTTTAGGCAGAACAAACAAGGTTTGGAGGCTGACAGGATCGAGGAGATGGAGTAGGGGCTAAGCTTGCTGTGAATGACTGACTGACTCCTGAGGTTTCAGGCCCGGGTGCCTGATGGAATGGGGTGGTCACAGGCAGAAATGCCAGGAGGTGAAGTTAGCCATAGGGTGGTTTGTGGCCTGTATGGCAGGCTGCAGCCTGGGTGGGAGGCACGGTTTCTGTGCATCCCTTCTTGGGTGGGCCTGTGCCTACCAGGTCATGGCTGAGCCAGGGATGAGACCTTCCACCAAAAGGGAAGCTCTCGTATTTTGGAGTATTTAATTAGAAAAAGAATTTTAGACCTTTAAGATTAAAAGATTGTCAAAAACAATTTTAATATATTTTACATTTTGAGATTGAATGATTTTCAGTTAACTTTTGTAAGGAGTCTCTTCTTTCTCTGAATCTCCTGTTATACCATTCTTTTTTTTAAAAAAATTTATTTTGAAATAATTTCAAACTTAACAGAAAGTTGCAAGAATTTTAAAAGAACAAACAAACAAGAAAACCTTCTTAACACTTCACCCAGATTCACTGATTGTTAGCATTTTGCAAACATTTTGCCACATTGGCTTTACCATTCCTCCCCTCCCTCTCCCACACCTCTTTCCATGTAGATTCACAGCTGAGGTTACTGTTTTCTAACCACCTGAGGGCAGGTTGCAGATCTGATGCCCCTTTCTCCAAATCCCTCAGTGTGTATTTCCAAAAACAAGGATCGCCTCTTACATAGCCAGTGTAAGCAACAAAATCAGAACGAAGTTTAACATTAATAGGAGTCTGTTATCTAGTCTATAATCACTCATATTTTGTCAGTTCCAGTAGTTTCCGTGTCTCTAGTCTCCTTTAATCTGGGACTGTTTCTTTGCCCTTCATTACCTTGACATTTTTAAAGACTATAGGCCTGTTAGTTTGTAGAATGTACCTCAGTTTGGGTTTGCCTTACATTTCTTCATGATTGGATTCAGGTTATACATTTTGGCTAGGAATATCACAGAAGTGATGTGTCTTCCTCAGTGCATGGTATCTGGAGGAACATGCTGTCTGTTTGTTCCACTATGGGTGATGTTAACTCTGATTACTTTAAGGTGGTGTTGGCCAGATCTAAACTCTGTGAGATTACCACTTCTCCTTTGGCATTAATAAGTCATTTATAGAAAAATTATTTGAGAACATGTCATTATGATCTGTTTTTTTCCTTGAAGTTCTTGTTTCAGGAATTTGTGTACTTATCTTTCTCCCCTTCCTAGCGGGTGAGATCTTTGGAAGCAGAGTATTGGTTGTATTTGCTCCTTTTTGTTTGAGACCATGTTGCCTTGCATTATTGAATTCTAAGAAGATAGTCTGTGTGCCGGTATTTATTCTGTCATGCTGGTGCTAAAATGATGGCAGGGGCTAGAAACCAGAACCTTCCCATGAAGGTATTTCCAGTCCAGTAGGGGTGGGCACAGGGGAAAATGGCAAATAAACCTGGTCCCAGTACAGGGCAGTGAGGACTGTGATCAGGGGAGATGCCCAGTGTCAGAGCTTATGGGGCTCAGAAAGGCTTCTCGGAGAAGGGATGACTCACCTGGGGCCTGAAAGGTGAGGAAGGTGATGGGGAGCATGTCAGCAGCCCAAATATAGACTGCTGCTGGGGTTGGTGTGCTCAGCTGGGGCAGGGCATGTGAGAACTGAGAAGAGCCTGCAGGGACGCCTAGTTGACCCTCTTTATTCCACATGCAAGGTTTTTGATTCTCAGCGTTCTGGTGACTTGCCTAAGGTCACTGTGCTCAGGAAGAGGCAGAGCTCTGCCTTGTCAGAATGGGAAGGAGCATGGGCATGCTCAGCAAGTTGTCTGTTTTCCACAGCACTGGGATGTGAGCATTGGTAGAGAAATCTAGCTGAATCCCCACCTTGTGTTTTTATGAATAGAGGAACAGACTGGGAGCCAGTTGGGAGTGAAACAGAAGATCATCTCCATGGGGTGGCATGCAGGAGAGAGCAGGAGCCACAGCCCGGCCGTTCCCCAGCCTAGCCCTGGTTTAGTTGACCAGCACCTCCAACCAGCATGCTCGCTCTTCTGCGGAAGGGGGTGTGGGTGGAGGGAGGATGTGGGGGCAGTTTTCTTTATAGACTGTACATTCGTGCTTCCTCAGTGGGACTATGTTTTTAAATTCTGAAATTTCATCATCTCTGCATCAGAAATCATAATATGTACCTCATCATCATCTTCAAGGTGATATTCATCAGTCTGAATGATATATTTAAGGAGTTATATATAACTAAAAGTCATTGATTAGTTGAGCTTCTTTTTTATGTATTATTCAAAGTAAAGCCTATTTTAATATTTACGCACATGCATTCATACAACAGATACACACACATACATATATGTGCATGAGTGAGGTATTTTTAGCGTTCTTTAAGAACATTTTTTAACAAGTTAATTTTTTAACTTTTTTTTCTGTGTGTGTGGTCAAGCTCTTTTTTATTATCATTCATTTTACAGCTGACTTTCTTAAATTTAAACTTTGGTTGGAATTTTTTCCATGAAATAGTAATTTACTAAGTTGTTAAGCCTATTTAGATTTTTTTTGAAGTAGCAATAATTTATTGACTACTTTGCCTGTAAGTGAATTGCAGAGGGAGTGGTTTTCTGGGCTGTGGGGCTTTTTTTTTTTGCGTATATTTAGTACTCATCTCATGTGGCCGTGCTCCATTACAGAACCATATGCTGCATTTTAGGGCAGAGTGACCTTTCGTTTCTGGGATCAGAGGGCTCTTGTTGAACTTACTCTTGTAAGTCTCCAGTGGACAGTAATCTCTGCTTATTGGCTGGCTGCTCCATCACTGTAGCTTTTCCCCAGAGTTAGCTTTTGATCTTCAGCTTTGCAGAGTTCCTTTGTAGCTTTTGGAGAATACAAGATCATAAACAGAGATTTGTACAAAAGCAGTTTTTCCCCTAGGGCTGGTGGTCAAGAACCCAGTAAGTCTCTACTTTAGGGTTTAACTGTATAGTAATAATTAAAGGAAAGTGTATAAGAGAAATAAGGCACAAAATTATCAGTTTTTCTTTTGTTGTACATTTTGGTTAATGAGATAATTTTTTTAACTGATAATATTATGAAAGCTACCACCCCTTGGAGTATATGGAACTTATGCTAGCTTTTTCAAACCATTTTGCAATCATTTCCCACTGACTTTATACAGCTGTTGGTTATTCTTTTTTTTTTTTTAAGGAATGGAAGCAATTGAGAGGTAAGAACAAATGCGTTCCTTAAACATATATAGTAATGTTCCCTTCTCTGCTCTTATTAAAGGTCAAAACTGCTTACAAGTGTGCATGTGTCTTACGAGATACCATAAATCCATACCTACTGCGGAGAATGAAGTCAGATGTCAAGATGAGCCTTTCTTTGCCAGATAAAAATGAACAGGTCTGTAAATCCAGGAGTTAACGAAGCATTCCTAAAGCACAAGTGTGTCTTTCCCTTCACTCTGATTCTCCTCTGCGGATGAGAGAGTCTGGTGAGGTATGATCCTGGAACTGTGGGCAGGCTAGGCCCGCTGTGGCGTCTGCCCTCAGTGGATTCTTCTCTAGTCCACAGGCTTTGACCTCCCTCTTACTGACACATGGATTCCTATAGCTACTCTTTTAAACATCTCCATTCTCCTTAAGCCCCTAATTCATTCATGCTACAAATTGTATTAGGTGCCAACCATATGCCTGTCGTGATCCTAGGCTCTGAGATACAGCAGTGAACAAAGCAAGTTTTGTTCTCATGGGGACTCACATTTATTCTTGAGGGAGAGTGTCACAAAAAGGTATAGAAGATGTCAGGTGGCAGCATTAAGTGTGGAGACAAATGAAGCAGGGTTGAAGGATAAGCTGGGAATGCTGAGGGCAAGGATTTGGGGAAGTGGGCCATTTGTAAGGGTTGGTCAGAGAAGACCTTTGATGAACTGACACCTGAGCAGAGGCCTAAAGAAGGCGAAGGAGCAAGTCTTGTAGGTTTTGAAGGCAGAGCATTGCAGATGGTGAGCTGTGGCAGTGCTTTGGGGCCTTCATAGACAGCAGGGAGGCCAGTGTGGTCAGGGCTGGGAGCAAGGAGGAGGGTAGAAGAGGAGGAGCTAGCTGGGAAGACTGGGGAGGCTGGCACAGACAGGTGCATGAACAGAAGTGAAGACCTGGGCATCGGAAGGTGAGTAGGGTGACCTGGAAAGGACCCAGTGTGTTTGGCCACTAGGAAGTCATGAGTGATGCCTCAGTGGCATCAACAGAGGTGCCCGTGAGGCTTGCTCTGGGTGCGGGCTTCAGGAGTGACTGGAGGTGAGGAAGTGGAGGTGGGGATGGTACCTAATTTTCTCAGGAATGCCCCCATCTTCCACTTGGAGGCTAATGGGTGAGGCACTGTACTGGGGAGAATGAGTGGGTCTTCAGATACAGTGCAGAGGTGGAAGGGTTGCCCTCCATCCTGTACAAGAACCTCTTCCTCTGGGAATAAAGGAAAATGAGGTGGATGCAGAAGTAGAGACATGTTAGGGAGTGAAAACCAGGGAATCATGCCTGATCCTGGTAGGTTCAGGTTTGATTTTCATTTTGTTTTTATTTGTCTGATTGTTTTTAAGTAGAAGTTGAGACAGAGTTGCGGGTGGCTTGGGTGGTGAGGAGCATGGGCACAGTTGCTCTGGGCTTGTGGAAGATGCTGGGCGGGCATGCGTAGAGGACCCCCTGGAGCAGGACAGGCCATGGCAGGATGCTGCCATGTATGAGCTTTTCTCCAGCAGCACCGGCACTGACCATAGGTCTGCAGAAGACTGATGGTTGAGTTGACCTACCTTTGGATGTTTACAGGGAAGATGCAGGGGGTTGAAAGGGGTCCAGGTAGGTGGCAGAGGGGTGGCTAAATGAGCATCCGTGGGAATGTAACTGGCGGTGGTGGACTTTGCGAAGGAGGGAGGGTTGAGAGGTGAAGGGTCACAGAGCACGATCGCATGGAGTGGTTGGTGCAGTGGGCTGGGAGGGTAAGGGTTGCCGTCCAAGGCAAGTCTGGTAACTCATGGGCCTGCACTTAGAGCTCCAGGAGAGGGAGAGCTCCAGGTGAGGTTGTGGTCTCTGGTCAGGTCTGCCGAGTAGAGCATGGCATGGGTCATGGGAGGTGGGATGGTTTGAGCACTTGGAGGCTAACGTGGAGGATGGTCTGTGCACCTGGGCACTGAACTTGCCCGTGAGCAGGAAGCCAGTCTTTGGGGACTGTGGGATGGGCCCTGGAGGTAGACAAGTGACAGAGATGGAGGGGCTGGTGAGCAGGGTATGGTGAGAAGTATTGTCACCCTTTGTTGTTTTAATATTAATAATAGGGATATCATTAAAATCGCATGCATTGTGCTCTTTTGATCAGGAAGTTTTGTTGATATTTTAATTATTTCTGTTAATTTTTTTTTTGAAATTATAGTTTCCTTGTTTTTCCCGTCCGTAGGTCTTATTTTGCCGTCTTACAGATGAGCAGCATAAAGTCTACCAAAATTTCGTTGATTCCAAAGAAGTTTACAGGATTCTCAATG
Organism: Homo sapiens; assembly: GCF_000001405.40. Taxonomy (NCBI): domain Eukaryota; kingdom Metazoa; phylum Chordata; class Mammalia; order Primates; family Hominidae; genus Homo; species Homo sapiens. The sequence continues at coordinate 49,476,225 of NC_000010.11, read as the reverse complement.
GAGAGATGCAGGTCAGCTAAAAAATAGAAGCTGGAGAAATGAATTGTGGACCAAGAGAAGTGAGGGAGGAAAAGAAACTAGGATCTACATTGTGCCAGGCTTTTCACGTACTGTCATCTCACTTCACTTGCATGAAGTCCCGCATGGTAGATGTGCAGTCAGCCTATGGCCTGGAGCCGTAAGGTGCAGAGGAGTAGGTAACTGGTGAAAGGTGGAAAGTTGCAGAGCTGTGTGCTGTGGATCTGAACCCAGACGCAAATGCAGCTGCGAGCTGTGCAGTTACTGTTACTTCCGAGGGTCTTACCTGGTAGGTGGGCGGGTGTCAGGTACATAGCTGCATTTTCCCAGATATTATGACCAGAATTATATATCTTGTGGAGAGGATCATGAGGATTCATAACTTTCATCAGCTTCCTAAAGGAGCCCCATTCCCCAATAAATGTTTATGAACCATTGCCATGTTAGGAACCAGATATAAATCTGGTTCAAATGTCCCTGGCTCTAATTCTCATTGTCCCCAGGGTAGGACAGTAATTTATTTATGGTGATTCTGTTCCTTTCAATACTGAGAAAGCTCTCTTTCTACTAGTGTCCAGAATTCAGAAGTTCCTAGCTAGTGTCTTCTCCAAAAGACTCTATTGTATAAATAATGTGAGTGTGATTAGGTCATTTCAGTTCTTTTAACCATCTCTCACAATTTCTTATTTCATTTCTTATTGGTTGCTACAGGAGGTTCTTCAGTCATTCACATCTATTCATCTCCATGAATCTCCCCTTAACTTCTTCAGGTCTTTCCAAGTTAGGGGGTCTAGATCACACTATCCAGGAAAGGGAATGCAAACTACACTTGGAATTGTAAATTTTCTAGTAGTCACATTAAAAAGGAAAAAGAGAAACAGGTGAAATTAATTTTGATATATATTTTATTTCATATATCTAAAATACATTTTAATATGTAATCAAAAATTAAAAATGATTAAAAAGATATTTTACTCCTTTTTTGTTCTGTCTTCGAAATTGGGTATGTATTTTACATATGCAGCACATCACAATTTGGACTAGCCACACTTCATGTGCTCAGTAGCCACGTGTGACTAGTGACTACTGCATTGGACAGTGCAGATTGAAAGGAAGAAGAATGAGTCACGGATGACTCTGGGGAGGTTTACCAATGTTCCTGACTTATTCAGATCATTTATTGTTAATCTGTTTACTGTTGTTTACTAGTGATAGCTACCCTACCCTTTGATTATTGGCTTAATGGTGATTTCTCCTCTGCTCAAGCTTTTAGACCAGTGAGTTTGATTTGAATCATCCTCTCAAGGCTGGAAGAGCCCCATTATTGAAGTTTTGTTAATGTTCTTTTGTGGGGATGGGCCGGGGCACTCACCCCTTGTCTTCTGTGCCCTTCTGCATGGACCATATCTTTCCCATTCGTGCATTCCTATTCGTGCATTTTTCATGCAGTTTTTTTTCTGATATAATAATAATCTAAAGGTAAATGGATCCTCAACCTCTGACTCATATTAAACTGCAGAACTTTTAGTGAGGTAATTAGGAGTGTAATATTTAAATGCATTTGATAAGTCACATGACTGATGTCTCCAAATTTAGGTTGATAGGACATTTCTGATCCATATTTAAAAGGCGAATTCCTTTTTTATATTAGGTTTATAATACCGTGAACTGCATACCTTTTTTCTAGTGAGGGAAAATGAATTATCAGCAATTGAATATGACCCCTGTAGACGTGTTCAGTCCAGTAGAATTTTTTTGTTTCTGAGAACTTGTTCTATCAGGGAAACAAGATGAGTGAAAGTTAATTTCTCCCAGCTCATGATAATGCTGTGACTAGAGAAGAAACTAAGAAGCTGGTGGAGAACTGTTTTTTAGTCTGTGTTATAGGTTAAACAGCCTCCTTGCCTAGGGAATCTTACTTTACATGGGGTCATCTGAGTGTACATGTACTCTTTCTTACCACAGATTTTCTCCGGACTTATAGCCCTAAGAAAAATTTGCAACCACCCTGATCTCTTTTCTGGAGGTCCCAAGAATCTCAAAGGTCTTCCTGATGATGAACTAGAAGAAGATCAGTTTGGGTACTGGAAACGTTCTGGGAAAATGATTGTTGTTGAGTCTTTGTTGAAAATATGGCACAAGCAGGGTCAGCGAGTATTGCTGTTTTCTCAGTCAAGGCAGGTGAGTGCACAGACTTCAGACGGGAAACAGGCTGGTTCTTTATGACAGCCATCAACTCACAAAATGGGATTCAATCTAAAGTAATGATTCTGAAGCAAGTCTACCACTGATGCTGAGGTGGCAGTCTACCGATTTCTTTGGGAGTTTAGATCTTTCTCTAGAGTTGGTGTCTAAAAGTTGACTTTTTAAAAAAGCTCACCATGTGATTCTAGTCTGCAAGTAAGTTTAGGCCTGAGCTTTGGCTGTTTACAAAAGTAAGAATTAACCATACGGAAATACCAAAAATACTCTTTTAACAGTTCTGTTTATCTGTCCTAAAGCAAGAAACTCCTTTTAACATAGGCCTGTTGGGGAAGGTGTTACCATTTACACAAATAGAGAAGCACTCACTGGGAATGTGTATTTGCTTTGCAAACTCCTATCCCCCACCTCCAAACAGATGCTGGACATACTTGAAGTATTCCTTAGAGCCCAAAAGTATACCTATCTCAAGATGGATGGTACCACTACAATAGCTTCAAGACAGCCACTGATTACGAGATACAATGAGGTAACATGTGAATGTAACAGGGAAGTTGAGTGGTGCTGCTGTACGTGGAGGGAAAGGACTAAGCGTATCCACACCCTTACCCACCAAAGCAGCATTGACATCTGGGCTTGGGAGGGGGCCTAAGGGGAGACTTGTTGTTTTTAACTCTATGCCCTACTTCTGGATATTTGGGGGCGGGGATTGTGGGCATGTGTATGTTCAAACAAAGAATGCGTTTTCTACAGCATGTATTTTCCTCCTAAAAACCCAATTTTTAAATATTTCTATTAAATATTAAAAGTAAAAGCTGTGAAATGAGATTTTGATTCACCAGAGGTCTCTAGGACATTACCATTCCTTATATTGGGAACAGCCCAGTAATTCCATGTGTACAATATGTGGAGGCAGAGGCTGAGAACTGTAACTGGTCTTAAGTGTGTGTGCTCAGTGTTGTGTGTCTTACCTCTAGGACACATCCATATTTGTGTTTCTTCTGACCACGCGGGTGGGCGGCTTAGGTGTCAACCTGACGGGGGCAAACAGAGTTGTCATCTATGACCCAGACTGGAACCCAAGCACGGACACGCAGGTTTGTTTTTATTTTTTTTTTAAAAGAATGTATTAGTAGAAATATAGTTTCATGGTTAGCGCTTTTGACTGTCCTTTGATGTTCTGGTTGGCTTCAGCATACGTTTCACATTTTGATTGTCTCCTGTTCTTCAACGTGAAAGAAGACACCCTTCAGAGTCAAATGGACAGGAACCATCTTCAGCAGTTTATCCATAGCATTCATTCCTAGAGTTGGGGTAAAAAGAACATAGGCAAAGTTACAAACATTTTTTCAAGTAGAGATGTCTTTTCAACTGGCTGTTCATCTTCCTGAGTAGGCCTTAGGTGTACTTGACGTCATGAGTCAAAATTCTAACTCTGGGAGTGACAGGTAGTGACCAGCTAGCTTTGTTTCTTATAGTCAGTGCTTGTCATTGGGAAGGATTCTCGTTGAGAGGTCTCTCTCTCTCTGTTGCAGGCCCGGGAGCGAGCATGGAGAATAGGCCAGAAGAAGCAAGTGACTGTGTACAGGCTCCTGACTGCGGGCACCATTGAAGAAAAGATCTACCACCGGTCAGTGCACACAGTGGCCACTCTTGGCTGTGCGTTCCCAGAGTCTTGAGCAGGGAATTTTTCCAAAGTGTTGTTTTTAAAAGTCTTAACATCTTAGAATAATAGTTGCTATAACTTAAGGCTTTGGTTTTTGTTTTGTATTTTTTCTTTCCCTTTAAAATATGCTTAGATGTCTTACTGTGAGTTGTCAAAAAATGTCTTTGAACCTGATAATTTTTGTACCTTATTCTACCTCAAGAATCACATACATGTAAACTTCATATTGTTATTTGAAAGGAATATTTCTGCCTGCTATGGTGTGTTGCCTTCAGAAAAATTTTAAAAAATGACAAGGTTGAATGTTACCATATTGGTGTTTACATACCACATTATGCAGGTAGGATCAGTGTGGGTGTTCTGGCAGTCTTTGACTCTGATGCCCCTTACAAAGAAGTCGACAGGATGGCTGTTTCGTCCTCTGTCTTTCCATAATGACTAGGGGATTTTAGACAGTGGTAACTTCAACAGTAGAATCAAGACATTGCCAGCTTCTCCCACTCCCCCACCACAGACTTTATCCTTGAGCCATAGCCCAGCTTTTATAGGAAGCTCTGTGCCCTTTACCACATGCTGGGCCATTCCTGGAACATTACATCTTCCTCGAGGGAGTGTTGTGTGAGGGTGGAGGACGAGTTGGATCCTGTGAGAAGAGAGCTTCCTTTTATAGATTCATGCTTTAGCTGGGAGAATAAATGACAGGGAGGGACAGGGTGGCTGGTGGAGGTGCCTGTTCCAGAGTGGCAGTGGTGTGGGGCTTCAGCAGAGTGTGGACCTGCAGGTGGGAGCAGGGAGAGAGAGGTCAGAGTGGAGACATTGCAAAGCCCAGGTAAGAGAGTTTGCTGAGCCCTATGATAGGAAGGTTCTAGGCAGGGCAGGACCCTTGGTATTCAAGTCAAGGAGGCTAAGAGAGACTATGAGTCACATGATGGCATGTGAAAAGGTGTTTCTTGAAATGTGTTAGATCTTGGAGGTTGAAAAAGCTCATTCGGTGTAAATAATAAGGTATTATTTCTAATTTAAATTCTGCAAGACCTGGGAGATTAACTGATGTATTATATATTTCCTGAATTGTAATTTTCCAAGGCTGAAAGTTTGGGGGATTATTTAGCCATTCATGCAGCAGCTGTTATCATCTCTCTCTTATATTGCTTTATAACTTGAATTTTTAGGTAGAGCTACACATTGTTTTATACCAGCTTATCTTTTATTTTTTTAGACAAATCTTCAAGCAGTTTTTGACAAATAGAGTGCTAAAAGACCCAAAACAAAGGCGGTTTTTCAAATCCAATGATCTCTATGAGCTATTTACTCTGACTAGTCCTGATGCATCCCAGAGCACTGAAACAAGTGCAATTTTTGCAGGTATTACATAAAATCATTTAATTTAAAGTAATCAATTGCACAAGATGATACAATATAGTATTAGTGGTGTTTTTCCTCTTTACAGGAACTGGATCAGATGTTCAGACACCCAAATGCCATCTAAAAAGAAGGATTCAACCAGCCTTTGGAGCAGACCATGATGTTCCAAAACGCAAGAAGTTCCCTGCTTCTAACATATCTGTAAATGATGCCACATCATCTGAAGAGAAATCTGAGGCTAAAGGAGCTGAAGTAAATGCAGTAACTTCTAATCGAAGTGATCCTTTGAAAGATGACCCTCACATGAGTAGTAATGTAACTAGCAATGATAGGCTTGGAGAAGAGACAAATGCAGTATCTGGACCAGAAGAGTTGTCAGTGATTAGTGGAAATGGGGAATGTTCAAATTCTTCAGGAACAGGCAAAACTTCTATGCCATCTGGTGATGAAAGCATTGATGAAAAGTTAGGTCTTTCTTACAAAAGAGAAAGACCCAGCCAGGCTCAAACAGAAGCTTTTTGGGAGAATAAACAAATGGAAAATAATTTTTATAAGCACAAGTCAAAAACAAAACATCATAGTGTGGCAGAAGAAGAGACCCTGGAGAAACATCTGAGACCAAAGCAAAAGCCTAAGAACTCTAAGCATTGCAGAGACGCCAAGTTTGAAGGAACTCGAATTCCACACCTGGTGAAGAAAAGGCGTTACCAGAAGCAAGACAGTGAAAACAAGAGTGAGGCCAAGGAACAGAGCAATGACGATTATGTTTTGGAAAAGCTTTTCAAAAAATCAGGTAATCCATTTGATACGTTTGCCACAGGGATGCTAGGATTAGAAAATGAGTAGGCTGTTTCTAGCAGTAGCAGTCTTTAACTGATGGTGCATAGAGGGCTGTCAGCCATTAGTGTTTTTCTTCAAAAATTTAGATTTGAAATATATTGACATTTTAAAAATCGTATTTACACCTCTTTTCTGAAGACCTAGAATAATTTGAAACTTTGGAAAACAATAGTACTTATGGCCACTCATGGGAGGTGTGCAATTCTTAAATCGATGTGTACTACCTGAACATTAGTAGGCAGTTACTTTACATGCTATATGCTACATTAATCTGATTTTCCAACCACAGGAGATTAAAGTAACATCATAAGGGAGAGGGACAAGCGTGTGGCTAGAGACAGACATTCTAGAAGTATGAAAGCTGATAGCTTATGTCAAGGGAGAAAAGTTAGGAGATGTAGACTCAACAATTGCTCAAGACCATGGAGTATATAGATAGCCCTGCTTAGTGATCCCTTAGCAGTCACTGTGTTCACAATGTGATGGCCTTGAGTTACCAAAGATTGCTGCTTATGGTACTCAGTTTAAGAAGGCAGGTTTATGTGTAGCATTTCAGAAAGACTTTTATTTAGCATGGTTAATTTTTTTGTTAATTTCATATTTTGAAGTAATTTCAAACTTAAATCAGTTGGGTCTCAAAAAAAAATCAGTTGGAATAATACGAAGAACTCTCCTATATCCTTTATCTAAGTTATTAACATTTTTCAGCTTTTGCTTTATCATTCACACACACACCCATCTATGCATACATTTTTTTTTTGGTAGGAATGCCACAGAGGTGATACCGTATCTTACTCAGTGCATCTATCAGGAGACACATGCTGGTTTGACCTATTACAAGTTGATTTTTAAGATCACTTGGTTAAGGTGGAGTCTGCCAGGTTTCTCAATGCTAAGGTTAATATTTTTACCTTTGTAATTAATTTGTGCTTTCAAGGAATATGCTTTGAGACTGTGTAAATATCCTGTTTCTCATCAAACTTTTATCCACTAGTTTTAATATCTATTGATGATTCTTTCCTCAGTCAGTTATTACTACAATGGTTGCCAAATGGTGATTAACATTCTATTGTAAGGAAGGTTTTCCTTCTCTCTTATTTATTTATTAATTTATTTTTAGATCAGTGTGGACTAATGGATTCTTTTTTTTTCCATGACTGTAATCCATTAGTAGGGGTATTATGATGCTCGTATTGTCTTAGATTTGCCTCATGGGTGGGAGCTCCTTCAAGCTGGCTCCTTTGTCCCTCTGGTATGTCCCCACCATTCTTTGAGCACCTCCTTTCTTCTTGGCATACTAATATATGCTGAGCTCAATTTGTATTCTGTGCCAGCCCTGGAATCAGCCATTTCTTCAAGGAACCCTGGAGAATGGTATTTAGGAACTAGGATCCGGGTTCTCAGAGTGTTCATTGCTGCTATTATGTCATTGCTTTCGTAGCCAATAGTATCAGGAAATAGATGTATGTATGTGTGTGTATGTGTTTGTTGTGTACATACATATACACATACATACGTGCATATATATGCACAACAAATTGCACAGATACACCTGTCTCTATGTCTGTGAAAACCATGAATTTGGCTTCCAGCAAAGGCAGATTAACATTTACCCTTCCATGTGAAACAATGAAAACAATGACAAAACATATGAAGCAATGGTTTTCAGACACCAAAGGGCAGTGATCTCTTGAGAGATGGGAAACAAATGAACTGAGCTCTCCAGTTGCCCTGCCCTACTGCCTTGAGAGAATTTTCGTGCTGTAACAGAAAGAGGGAGAACCCAGATGGGAGTCCAGGCAGACCCTCTGTTGAAAAGGCAGAGCTGAGCATCAGGGGAGGCCAGGGTGGCTGGCATTCACATGCAAGAGACGATAGCGGAGACAGCTCTGCACAGGGAGAGAACCCCACAGGTCTGCAGAGTCTCCACTGGCACTCAGCTGAATACTGACCAGCACATTGTGCAAGAAAACTACTTAAGGTCAGTGAAAAGGCCTTTCCTCTTTAACTTTTCGAATTAGAGGAAACATGTCTGGTGCTCACCCATGGCCAGGGATAGTGCCTGTTCCCACCAGCTAAGACTGGAAAAATATTTCATGGGGCATTGGGTATGATACAGAGTAGGGGGTCTTGCCTCTGTAGTAGGGAATGATCAGCCTTAGAGTGAGCACTGCTTCAGCCCTACCTGAGTGTTTACAGGAATATACAAATACCCAACATCCAACAAGATGAAATTCACAATGTCTGGAACCCAATAAAAAATTACTGGCTGGGTGTGGTGGCTCAGCCTGTAATCCCAGTGCTTTGAGAGGCTGAGGTGGGTTGATTGCTTGAGCCTAGGAGTTCAAAACCAGCCTGGGCAACATAGTGAGATCCTATCTCTACAAAAAATAAAAAAAAAAATAGCCGGGTGTGGTAGCATACACCTGTGGTCCCAGCTACTTGCGAGGCTGAGCTGGGAGGATTGCTCGAGCCTGGGAGGTTGAGGCTGTGGTGAGCTGTGATCATGCCACTGCACTCCAGCCTGGGCAGCAGAGCGAGACCCCATGTCAAAAAATAATAAAATGTATAACCCAATTTTTTAAATGGACAAATAATTTGAACAGACTTCACCAAGAAAGATATGTAGATGGCAAATAAATATATGAAACTTGTTAATATTATTAGTTATTAGGGAAATGCCAATTAGAACCATAACGAGATACCACTATACACCCTCTAGAATGGCTAAAATGAAAGAAGACTGACCATACTAAGTGTTGGTAAAGATGTGAAGCAGTTGGGTCTCATACACGCCTGGTGGGAATGTAAAATGGCACAATCACTTTGGAAAACAGTTTGGCAGTTGCATGCGCTTTCCTTGTGATATAGCTTTTTCAGTCCTGGGTGTGTATTTGCCCAAGAGAAATGGAAAAATATGTCCATACGAAGGCTTGTACATGAATATTCGTAGCAGCTTTATTAGTAATAGCCAAAAATGTAGAAATCAAATGTCTACCAACAAGTAAATAGTTAAACTAACCATGGCATATCCATATGATCAAATACTAGTCGACAGGTGGGGCTTGGCTCACGCCTGTAATCCCAGCACTTTGGGAGGCCGAGGTGGGTGAATCACCTGAGGTCAGGAGTTCGAGACCAACCTGGACAACATGGTGAAACTCCATCTCTACAAAAATACAAAAATTAGGCATGATGGTGGGTGTCTGGAATCCCAGCTACTTGGGAAGCTGAGCGGGAGAATCGCTTGAACCTGGGAAGTGGAGGTTGCAGTGAGCCGAGATCACACCATTGTACTCCTGCCTGTGCGACAGAGCAAGACTCCGTCTCAAAAAATATATATACTAATCAACAATAAAAGGAAGTAGAGTATTGATACATGCTACAGCATGGATGACTTTCGGACTAGTAAGATTAGTACATACTCTGATGCCGTTTGCATAAAATTCTAGAAAACACACAGTCATGACAGAAATTGGATTGGTTGTCTGGGCATGGGGTATTTGACGGTGGGATTACAAAGGGACATGAGTTTTGCAGGTGACGGCTATGTTCATTGTCTTGATTGTAGTGATAGTTTCATGGTATGTACATAATGTCACAACTTACCAAATACTGTACTTTAGCAGTTATTGCATATCAGTTACACTCTAATAAGCTCCAAAAAGCAAAATAAGATGAGGGAATACTGTTGTCTCCAATTTCATTTCAGCACCCTAGGGCCCTTTCCATGTTTGTAGCTTCCTTCTTCAAGACCTTCATTCACAACGTACTGAGTTACTTGTCAATCCTAGGATACATGGTAGCTTTTTACAATTTCTGACCTGAACTATGGCAAGAAACAGTTATACTAACTAGAATTCAATATTTGTTTTTATTTATACTAACTAAAGTTCAATATTTGTTTTTATTTCTTTTTGTCTTTAGTCTAAGTTTTTGGTCAAAACACTACTTGAGTCAAAAATAACTTAGTTCTTTTTTCTCACCCTTCATCATATTTTCAGTGTGTGCTATCAGTTTAAAATACAGTTAGGTTAATTTATTTGTTTGTATTCCACTTTAGGGTTTCCTCCCATCCTTGTTGACTCTATGTTATCTTCTGAGTAGTAACACATTAACATAGTAACAAAAGACAAAATATGCAAAAAGGAATACCAGAGTAGTGTCATCCCCCACCCTGTCCCCACCCCTTCCTTACCTTACCAGTCTCATGAGTTTCTGGCATTTCCTTCATGTGTTTCTGTGTTAGTCTGTTTTCACACTGCTGATAAAGACATACCAGAGACTGGGCAATTTACAAAAGAAAGAGGTTTAATTGACTTACAATTCCACATGACTGGGGAGGCTTTACAATCATGCAAGGAGGAGCAAGTAACATCTTTCATGGATAGCAGCAGGCAAAGAGCTTGTGCAGAGAAATTCCCATTTTTAAAACCATCAGATCTCATATAAGACTCATTCACTAGTACAAGAACAGCACAGGAAAGACCCAACCCCATAATTCAGTCACCTCCCACCAGATTCCTCCCATGACATGTGGGAATTGTGGGAGTTACAATTCAAGATGAGATTTGGCTGGGACATAGCCAAACCATATCTTTCCACCTCTGGCCCCTCCCATATCTCATATCTTCACATTTTAAAACCAATCATGCCTTCCCAACAGTCCCCTAAAGTCTCAACTCATTTCAGCATTAACTCAAAAGTCCACAGTCCAGAGTCTCATCCAAGACCAGGCAAGTCTCTTCTGCCTATGAGCCTGTAAAATCAAAAGCAAGTTAGTTACTTCCTAGATACAATAGGGTTACAGGCATTGGGTAAGTACAGCCATTCCAAATGGGAGAAATTGACCAAAACAAAGGGGCTATAGGCCCCACACAAGTCTGAAGTCCAGCAGGGCAGTCAAATCTTAAAGCTCCAAAATGATCTCCTTTGACTCCTTGTCTCGCATCCAGGTCACGCTGATGCAAGAGGTGGGTTCCTATGGTCTTGGGCAGCTCTGCCCCTTTGGCTTTGCAGGGTATAGCCCCCCTCCTGGCTGCTTTCATGGGTGGCATTGAGTGTCTGCAGCCTTTCCAGGTGCATGGTGCAAGCTGTCAGTGGATCTACTGTTCTGGGGTCTGGAGGACCGTGGCCCTCTTCTCATAGCTCCACTAGGTGGTGCCCCAGTAGGGACTCTGTGTGGGGACTCCAACCCAACATTTTCCTTCTGCACTGCCCTAGGAGAGATTCTCCATGAGAACCCTGCCCCTGCAGCAAACTTCTGCCTGGGCATCTAGGAGTTTCCATACATCTTTTGAAATCTAGGCAGAAGTTCCCAAACCTCAGTTATTGACTTCTGTGCACCCTCAGGCTCAACACTGTGTGGAAGCTCCCAAGGCTTGGGGCTTGCACCATCTGAAGCCACAGCCTGAGCTCTTTGTTGGCCCCTTTCAGCCACAGCTGGAGTGGCTGGGACACAGTACACCAAGTCCCCAGGCTGCACACAGCATGGGGACCATGGGCCAGGCCCGTGAAACCACTTTTTCCCCCTGGGCCTCTGGGCCTGTGATGGGAGGGGTTGCCATGAAGGTCTCTGATATGCCCTGCAGACATTTTCCTCATTGTCTTGGGGATTAACATTTGGCTCCTCGTTACGTAATGCAAATTTCTGCAGCCAGCTTGAATTTCTCTTGAGAAAATGGGGTTTTCTTTCCTATCACATTGTAAGGCTGCAAATTGTCCAAACTTTTATGCACTGCTTCCCTTATAAAACTGAATGCCTTTAACAACACCCATGTCACCTGTTGAATGCTTTGCTGCTTAGAAATTTCTTCCGCCAGATACCCTAAATCATCTCTCTCAAGTTCAAAGTTCCACAGATCTCTAGGGCAGGGGCAAAATGCCGCCTGTCTCTTTGCTAAAACATAACAAGAGTCACCTTTGCTCCAATTCCCAACAAGTTCCTCATCTCCGTCTGAGACCACCTCAGTTTGGACCTTACTGTTCATATCACTATCAACATTTTTGTCAAAGCTATTCAAGAAGTCTCTAGGAAGTTGCAAACCTTCCCACATTTTCCTCTCGTCTTCTGAGCCCTCCAAACTGTTCCCATCTCTACCTGTTACCCAGTTCCAAAGTTGCTTCCACATTTTGGGATATCTTTTCAGGAGCGCACCTCCCCACTGGTACCAGTTGCCTTTATTAGTGCATTTTTATGCTGCTGATAAAGACATTACCCAAGACTGGGCAATTTACAAAAGAAAGAGGTTTAATCAACTTACAGTTCTGTGTGGCTGTGGAGGCCTCACAGTCATGTCAGAAGGCAAGGAGGAGCAAGTCACATCTTACATGGACGGCAGCAGGCAAAGAGAGCTTATGCAGGAAAACTCCCATTTTTAAAACCATGAGATCTCATGAAACTCATTCACTCATGAGAACAGTGTAGGAAAGACGCATCTTCATAATTAATCACCTCCCACTGGGTTCCTCCCATGTCACGTGGGAATTGTGGGAGTTACAATTCAAGATGAGATTTGGGTGGGGACACAGCTGAACTATATGTTTCTTTTGTAGAAATAAGCAGGCACATGTATAATTTTATATTCCCTTATTCTCTTACACAAAAGGTTGTATACTATATTATCTTCTGTTCCTTTTTTTAAAAAAACTTCATATATCCTGACAGCCACTGCAGTATTAATTAACAGAGAGCTATTCCTCCTTTAGCAATTTTTATTGCTAGAGTGCTCTGCTATGTTGACCCAAAACCTGAAATCTAAAATGCTCTAAAATCCAAAACTTTTTGTGCACTGACATGATGCCAGATGTGGAAAATTCCACACCTGACTTCATGTGATGGGTCACAGTCAAAACACAATTAACACTTTGTTTCCTGCACAAAATTGATAAACGTATTATATTAAAATTACCTTCAGGCTATGTGTGTAAGGTGTATGTTAAAAATATATACATTTTGTGTTTAGACTTGGGGCCCATCCCCAAGATGTCTCATTAGGTATATGCAATTATTCCAAAATCTGAAAAAGGCAAAATCTGAAGCACTTCTGGTCCCAAGAATTTTGGGTAAGAGATATTCAACCTGTACCACAGTTTATCCACATATGAGGATTTAGATTTTTTATAGCTTCTTTTAGCCACAGTGCTGCACTAAATAATCCTGTGCTTATACAAGAGGAATTGCTAGATCAAAAGGTAAACACATATGTAAGTTTGTTTTGTTTGTTTGTTTGAATAATGCCCAACTCCCTTTTGTAAGGTTTAGATCAATTTGAATTGTCACGAGCAGTTGTTGCCCAGAGGCTTGTCAAGAGTGTGGTGTTACACTTTTAATTTTTCCCAATCTGATAGGTGAGAAAGGATATCTTAAGTTTTAATTTCCAGTTATTTTCTTTGAGTGAAATTGAACTTTTTATAGGACCATTTATATTTAAAAAATTTTTCTTTCTGTGAACTTGTCTGTTCATGTCTTTTGTCCATTTTCTAAATCAGGTTTTTGGTCCCTTTTTCCCCTTGGTTTTAAAGAGTTCTTTATATATTAGGGATGTTAGCTTTTCATTTTTCATATATGTTACAAGTATTTCCTCATTGGTTGTCCTTTATTATGATTTTTTTCCTATGAAACAGGTTTTTTTTTAAAAAAATTGTCAGTCTTTTATTAATTGGAATTGTAGTTCTAAGCCTTTTCTACATATAGATCATATGATAATTCGCCATGTTTTCTTGTACTACTTGTATGGTTTTGCTTTTTACATTCAGATTTCTGATCCATTTGGAGTATGAGGTGTGGATTTTATCTTGGTTCAAAGATAAAATGCCCCAACGTTTGTGCCCCAACGTTTGTAGCATCATTTATTTCAAATAAGTTTTTCTCAGTGATTAGAGATGCCTTTATCATGTAGTACATTTCCAAATGCAGTTCAATCTATTTCTATTTTCTGGTCAATCTCCTGTTGTGTCTCTTCTTTCCTCAGCACCAAACTGTTGTAATTGGAGCGTGTTTTATTGTCCAATAGGGTGTTACTTTGCCTTTTCAGTGTTTTCTGATCTGTTCATGAAGGTTTATTGTTCTGTATGAACTTTAGTGTCAGTTTGTCTAGCTTCATAAGAAAGGTTGACATTTTTATTGAGATTACATTAAACATATAAATTAACTCAGGGAAAATGGTTATTGAGTCATTCTACTCAAATGCAAGGGATGTCTTTCTGTTTGTTTAAGTCTGATAGTCTATCTTCCCAGGAGTGTTTTCATGTCTTCTCCATATAGGCTTTACACATTGCTTGGGTTTATTCCTAAGTGTTTGGTCTTTTCTGTTACTGTAAATAGAATTTTCCCACCATTATATTTTTAGCTGGCTATTGTTTGTAAATAGGAAGGTTATAGGTTTCTGTGTGTGAATTTTATATTTTTTATGTTGCTTGAATTATCTTACTATTTTTTATCATTGATTCTCTAGGGTTTTCTAAGTGTACTATCACTTTGTTTTTGTCTACTACAGTACTGTACTTATACAGAGGAGAAAAGTGTCTTTCTTGCATACAGAGTGAAATATCACTTTGCTATTTCTTTTCTTGCTAGTTGGCGTGCACAGTGTCATGAAGCACGATGCCATCATGGATGGAGCCAGCCCAGATTATGTACTGGTGGAGGCAGAAGCCAACCGAGTGGCCCAGGATGCCCTGAAAGCACTGAGGCTCTCTCGTCAGCGGTGTCTGGGAGCAGTGTCTGGTGTTCCCACCTGGACTGGCCACAGGGGGATTTCTGGTGCACCAGCAGGAAAAAAGTAAGAGATTGCTGCATGCCATACTTGCAAGGAGTCCAAACAACTAAGGCTAGAAATAAAATCAGGGCAGGTGTGGAGGCTTATACTGTTATTTCTCTTCAGGAATAAATCCCCAGGGAGGGATTATAGCAGCAAAATCTGGGTGACTTGGAGAAATACTGTTATAACTTTGCCTTCCTCCTTGCTTTCATCCCCTGTTTTCCAAAGTGGCTTCAGGAGAAGTGATTGGTTTTATTTGAGAGATGGTGTTGTTAAAAATAGTAAGAGATACAGGATAATGATTAAACCTTAATGAGATAATTAGCCAGTTTACAGCACACATTAATTACTTTGCTATTCAGTATGCTCTTTTAGAATGATTTTCCTACTTGGAATTGAGAATGGTTCCCATCATCTTTTGAACAAGATACTGAGTGGTTCTCATTCTGAGATGCAGCAGTTCCTTTTTTTTTTTCTTTTTTTAGAGATGGAGTCTCGCCCTTTCGCCCGGGCTGGAGTGCAGTGGTGTGATCTTGGCCCACTGCATTCTCTGCTTCCTGAGTAGCTGGGATTACAGGCTCCCGCCACCATGCCAGGCTAATTTTTGTATTTTTAGTAGAGACGGGATTTCACCATGTTGGCCAGGCTAGTCTCGACCTCCTGACCTCAAGTGATCTGCCTGCCTCAGCCTCCCAAAGTGTTGGGATTACAGGCATGAGCCACTGCGCCCAGCCAGCAGTTACTTTCTAGGAGGGTGGAGTGGAAGAATCGAGGGGGATAGAGCAGAAATGGCATGGCTGTGAAAGAATAAGCATGCAGATGGAAATGTTTCCAGGAAGAAGTTCATTGTTGAAAGAATATTTTGATCTCTAAGTCTCAAAAGCAAACATTTAATCTACTGTGATGCTTTTCCTTTTTTAGGAGTAGATTTGGTAAGAAAAGGAATTCTAACTTCTCTGTGCAGCATCCTTCATCAACATCTCCAACAGAGAAGTGCCAGGTAATATAGATAACCTTTTTGCTTTCCAGGGTGAGACTTGCTTGATTGAATGCTGTGAAAATTTCACCTGATTCTGGATGTGAAGAAAATGGTCATCTCTGGTGTAATGACACCTGATATTTGTGTTGCACGCTCTGATTTACGATGCACATTCACTTGAATCTAAAAGGACCTGCTGATTTCCTAAAGACAAAGTCTTTAACCCAAGATCCGTAGCAGCATTTCTGTTTTGCCATTAGAAGGTTGACACAGGGATAGGTGTGTCGCTGCTAGGACAGCCTGCCTTGTCTAGAGGGAAAGTGCCAGCTCCAGAGACCACAACCCTCTGAAATAAAAGTCCAGAAAACTGCCTTGAATGTTGGTGTCTGTAACTCACTGGCTGCTAGAGCAGAGTGCCTGTCTTTCTCTGCTCAAGAATGCCCTGCTTGCCTTGAGTGCTACTGTGGTTAAAACTAGTCCAGATTCCACCATTCAGTGGAAGTCTTTCTGGTCTTTCTGATTAAGGATTATGTTAAAACTCCCAGATTCAGACTCCAATTTTAAGTTAATGTGAACATGTTTAGGAATACTAGTACCTTTTTGACTTCCCATGTTCTGTGCTTTTAGCAGTAGGGATTTGAGACCCTTTCAGAGTTAGATTTGTGTTTTTTTAAGGCAAGTTGCATTAGATGTAAGGTAGGAAAGAGTAAGAAGACTTAAAAGTGAAGAAAAGGAAGTATAGCTATGATATTGTTCCTTATCCACAGTGTACAGGGTCCATTTGAGAGGAAGAACAGGAAAAGCCCACAGGTACTGAAAGTGGTCCTGGGCCTCCTAGAGACAGATTTTCCTGAAACCTTGCCTGGAAGCCTCCACTCTGCCTTCCTGTCCACCACCATGTTGAGTGGTGGTGACTAAGGGAATGGCTTGGTTGCCCCCTCTTTATTTTTTTTTAGGAAACGGTCTCTTAACAGTGGGAGGATTTAGATACCAGACCCTCCTCCTTTCCCTTTTCATTAGGTGGAGTCTCAGTCTCACCCTGTCAACCTCACCACCCTGGCACATGTGTTGTCTTGTGACCCTTCACAGCCTTTGGGGAAGGAAGTGGGGGCATAAACTAGAAATTAAATATATCAGTATAGTGGTCTTCTTTTTATAGGATGGCATCATGAAAAAGGAGGGAAAAGATAATGTCCCTGAGCATTTTAGTGGAAGAGCAGAAGATGCAGACTCTTCATCCGGGCCCCTCGCTTCCTCCTCACTCTTGGCTAAAATGAGAGCTAGAAACCACCTGATTCTGCCAGAGCGTTTAGAAAGTGAAAGCGGGCACCTGCAGGAAGCTTCTGCCCTGCTGCCCACCACAGAACACGATGACCTTCTGGTGGAGATGAGAAACTTCATCGCTTTCCAGGCCCACACTGATGGCCAGGCCAGCACCAGGGAGATACTGCAGGAGTTTGAATCCAAGTTATCTGCATCACAGTCTTGTGTCTTCCGAGAACTATTGAGAAATCTGTGCACTTTCCATAGAACTTCTGGTGGTGAAGGAATTTGGAAACTCAAGCCAGAATACTGCTAAACAACATTGCTTCCTAAACTTTCAAGTCCCTTTTTCTAACGGGCATTTCTGATTATTAATTTATTATTAATAATCATGTTTGTCAATGGAAGTTGGCTGCACTTGATGTTTGTTTGCATGATGTCTACCTCAGAATTAAAACTTTAAGGAAGAAGAAACTCTTCTCTGAAAGTTAAAAGTTTTAATAATGCTAGCTAAAGGAGAAAATACTTGGATTGATTTTTTTTTTTTTGGCAATCTAATTATATTGTAAATCAGGTACCTAACAGTTACTCCTTGGAGCACATTTGTTCCTTTACCCAAAAGATGCTGTCAGGGAGCACAGTTAGAAGTTTGCAGAACAGAAATCTCAATATTTTTTTTTATTGGTGCTAAAAACAGGTCTTACATTCAGTCAGACCTGTTCAATAAGTTCATCAATATCTGATAACAGCATTATTTTGATGCTTAAACTTTAAACATTTATATTTACCATTTGCCACCCACAAAGGTCAGGTTTGTTATTTGTTGTTTGATAATTATATTAATTTTCTTGGAAAGATCCTCTTTTCAAGGTACTGGTAAATTGGTGAGTATTTTTATTAGTAAAGCATGAAATAGTATGGTAATAAATGATAAGACATGTATTTGTGGAAAGCTGTAGGGTATTCAGTTTACCCTGGCTTTCCTTTAAGCAGAGGGCATCTTTTTCTCTCCTACAGTCACAAAATGTGTTATCATTAAAAAAAATCAAATTAAAGCCAAAAGTAGGTACATAAAAACCACACACATGCATGCACACAAACATCACTGCAGCCCACAGCAGACCCAGCCGTTGTTACCATGAAGTGACACCACTCCAGGCCTCTCTTGTCTGCAGGCTGGCAGGCTGTCTTCTCTCCAGTTGCCTTCGTCTTGCGCCTGCCTTTGCATTCCTTGCGACGGGCTTTCTTGTTTCTGCGGTTTGGATTCCAGCCAAGGCTGTTTGTATCTCACTACTGTTTATGTGTTTGTGGTTCTGTGATGGTGTTGCTTTGATCCTCAGTTTATTTTCTTACCCATGTTTTTCTTGTTTCCTTCTCAGGATGATTTTATCATCTCATCTTTGAAGTGTTGTTTTCCGAAATTCATCGTATTCCTGAAATTTCTTCTTAGCTGTCTTAGTGCAGTTTGTTTCTTGGATTTGTATTCTCTGGCATGCTCTTTTCCTCTCTCTCATTTTTCTGTAGTATGCCTGCCCTCCTACCCTGCTATTTCTTTACATCTCTCTCATGCTTAACATGGATAGCTGTGTCCAGATCTTCTGTCTGCTCATCCATGTGACTCAGAGAGGAGGGTTCTGGGCAGGGGGGCCTTGCCGGACTGCATGAGAGGACATGAGTTTTGCTTTCTCTGCTCTAATATTTTGCTTAAGCCAAGAATCCTTTTCTTAGAGATGTTCTATATGATTCCTGTCAGGATTTTCTAGTTTTTTTTGGATTATAGCTTGTTCATTTCTTTTGTTTTTAGTTTGGTTTATATATAATGAGGGAAGAAGATGATTACATTATTTTTGTCACTTTGCCATCATTGTTTAGAAGTCATAGAAAGAATTTTTAAATAGGCCAATAAGTCTTAAACTTGAGTACTTGGCTTAGAAGAAAGTCAAAACTCCTTCCTTTTTGACTAAGTGGTTTGTTTCTGGGGAGCTCTTAATTTCTATTTTTATAATCATTAGCCTATAAGGAAATTGTGTCTTCCTTGTTCTCAGGGTGATCTGCTGACCTTGTTCACTCATGAAGCATTTGGGTATCATACTTATAGTGTCTGAAACATAAACTGTATTGAGCTAGACAAGGTATAGCCTCCTCTTCAAGTAGCAAATACTATCAAAAGCTATAATGCAGTAGGAGCAAGGTGGTCCTTGTTCCAGTTTTTGTCTCAGTTCTGCTGCTGATGTACCATGATCTTGGGAAGGTGGTGTCTCAGTGTGGAGATCTGACACATTGTTACCGTGCCTCCTGGCTGGAGGGACTTGGAGAACAATGCAGTTAAGTAGAATGGTTTTAACAATACAGAGAAATTTATTCATTTAGATAAAAATCTGATTTTTAGAACTTTAAAAGCTTTGTACAGTGTAAATAGATTTAATGTATTTAACATGCTTTATCAGCACAAATAAAGGATTTTAAAATTTTGTCAAAAAATTAAATGTTAATACTATCACCATTAAAAATGTTCAAGCAATAGTCTGCCTCCCCACCCCCACACCATCTTGCACCTGTTCCACAGCTAAGTACAGCCCTAGGTTTGGTGTGTATTCTCCATGCATTTAGAGAATCACATGACACAGACTGCTGCTATAATGTCATTTTCCCATTCTTCCTTTACTAATAAAATTTTTGAGTTTTACCTGGACGTCTGGCTGCTCAGCTTAAGACTACTTCTCAGCCTCTCTTATAGTTAATTGTGGCCATATGACTAAGTTTTAAACTTCCCAATTGGCCCTTTAAAGAAGCAGGGTATGCACTCTCCTTGACATTCCCCTTTCTTGCTGGCTGGGAGGCCAATGGGAGCTTCAGTAGTGACCTGGCATCTCAAGAGATGGAAGTGATGTGTTGAGGAAGGAGAAGTTGGCCTGCCAGTCTTGAACTGCTCTCCTTTGACCTGTTATTTAAGAGTAAAATAAAATACTGACTTGCTTAAGCTACTGTCTTTTGAAGTCTATTATAGCAATTAGTTTGCTTTAAATATGTAATTTATATTAATGGCCTTATACCATCCTTATTTTGCAACTAACTTTTCATTTAATATTATATGCAAGACATTTCTATTCCTGTAAGTATAGCTCTGCCTGCACAGAATTGTTGGATTAATGATGTAGATTTTAAATGTCAGTGGATGTAGCAGAATTGCTTGCATCAATTCACCCTCCATAAAAGGACCCATTTCTCCAAACCCTTGCCAACAGTAAGTGGTATCAATATCGATAGGTTGTTTTGTTTTGTTTTAACCAGTCTCGTGATTGAAAGTACCTTGTTTTCACTTGAATTTCCCTGATTACGTACAAAATCAAACATTTCCATGTTTATTGGCCATTTGTAGATCTCTACCGTACATTGCCTATTAGTGTTATGTTGGCCTAGTTTTCCTGTGGGTTGTTTATCTTTTAGGATTGCTCCCCTAAACAAAAACAAAAAGGCAGTTATTCCAATGATCAACAAATATTCTTTTCTCCACCAGTTTAAAATGTCAGCTTTCAACTCATCACATGCTAAGTTGTCTATTTCTGTCCTGTGGATCCAGGTGTTGGTTCTACCAACCACACTCCTCACGCTGTCATTTGGTGCTTTGCATTGTGTTTTGCCATTCATGGGCAAGTTCCTTTTCCTTTCTCCCCCTCTTCAGTGTCTTATACTTGGGTGTTTTCTGTTCCAGCTGAATCAAGAATTAGTTTATTAAATTCCAGTAAAATTGTGGTGTTCTTTTGACTAGGATTGCATTTGTTTACACATTAATTTGAGAATAATAGACCTCTTTATAATTAATATAATGTTTCTGATTAGTGTTATGATAGGCCTCATTTTATTAAAGTCTTTTATATTCTTGGATGAAATTTTAATAACTTTCTTCATAAATGTCTTGCACATTTCATAATAGGCTTATTCCTAGGTGTTTTATAGATTTTTAGTTTTGGTTGTGAGTCTTTTAACTTACATAAAAATATGGAGAATTAGCATATTCACATATCTATTTTGTGATGTTTATCATACGGAAGTTTTAAAATATAGTAAATTCAGTCTTTCCATTTTTTTTTGTTTATTTAAGAACCATTCCCTAGCTAGGGTCATGAATACATTCTTATGAATTATTAATCCCATATGGATAGCTAGTTTCCCTAGCACCTTTAAAAAATAGTTTATTATTTTCCTCCTGATGTATAAGGCCACCTTTACCAATTTACATATAATGTACGGAAATGTTTCTTGGCTCTGCATTCTGTTAAATTGGTCCATTTATCTAACTTTGCTTAGTAACCCACTGTTTTTATCATTGTGGTATCATAATTGATTATCACAAATGGTAGAATGATTGTCCTCAAAGTCTTTTCTGGTATATATTGATATAATTGTATAGCTTTTCTTGGTGTAGTAAAGTACACAGTTAAATTTTCTAACATTGAAATATCTTTTAGATTTTCACTTCCAGAATGGCAATGTGAAGGGCCCTGTGGACCCACTGTCCTAGGAATTAGCTATAACTAGTGAAAATTGTAACAAAAAATAAACACCTTCCTCTCATACAGAGAGACACAAACACTTAATGCCACTGGAAATTGTCCTAAAAGCATGTAGAATAAAGTAACGCTTATTCAAGAAAATCCAAATCTTGGTAAGAACAGTGAGTCAGACATTTCAGCCACAACACACTCACTCCCTCCCTCCCATTTCAGTGGGTGCAGCCAAGAAAACAGAGCTCCGTCTCCCTCAGCTCCCTGTCCAGAGGTATGGTACCTCACAGGGAGGGGCAAGATGCCAGCATTTCTTATCCCCTCCAGCTTCAAGTGGCAAGAGCTAAATTCATGAAGTTAAAAACTATAATAAGGAAAAAATGCACTAAAGGGGTTCAATAGTAGATTTGAACTGGCAGAAGAAATTGTCAGCCAACTGGCAGATAGAATAAGAGAGATATGCTTTCCAAAGAACAGAGAGAAAAAAAATGAAAAATGAGCAAAACCTCAGAGAAATGTGAAGCACCATTATGTGCACCATTAAGTATGCATGTAATGGGAGTACAAGAAGAGCAGAAGAAAAAGGAAATATTTAAAGATACAATGACTGAAAACTCTCCAAATTGATTGAAAAACATCTAGGAAGCTTAGTGAACTTCCAGCATGATAAATGCAGAGGGATTCACAGACACATCATAGTCAAAAATGCTGAAATCAAAGATGAGAAAACCTTGAAAGTAGTGAGTGAAAAAAAGATACATCACTTAGAGAACAAAATTAATACTTGACTTCTCAAAAGAAATAATGGAGGCCAGAAGGCAGGTATAACAGTCAAAGTGCTTGAAGAAAAAAAAACTGTCAACCAAGAATCCTATATCCAGCAAATGTATTATTCAAAAATATAAGTGAAATACTTTCCCAGATAAACAAAAACAGAAAAATTGTTGTTAACCAACCTGCCTAATAAGAAGTATTAAATGAAGTTCTTTAGGCTGAAAGCAAGAGAAGAGCACCAGTAAAAGCAATTATATAATTATAAAAGTCACATAAATGCATATTTTTCTCCTCTTAACTGATTAAAATGCAACTGTATCAAATAATACGTATATGATGTATTGGTCTATAACATACAGAAATGTCATATATGTAACATTTGTCAAAACAGCACAAAGGAGGTGGCTGGGAGCAAAGCTGTAGTAGACTAATTAAATGATGGCAGATGGTAAAGTAATAATTATAACAATGTGTTGGATTTGTAACATTAATAGATACCATATGTATACCTAAAATATCACAAAAAGGGGGAAAGGGAATATAGCTATATAAGAGTAAAGCTTCTATATATTATTGGAGTTAAGCTTGTGTAATTCTAACAGATTCTGATAAGATGTATATGGTAAACACTAGAGCAACCACTAATAAAATAACTCCAGAAATATAGTTGAAAAATCATTAATCAAATTAAAATACTACCTTAGAAAATACTCGATGCAAAAGGCAATATTAAAAGAGAATGAAAAGAACACAATGGATACTAGAAAACAAAAAGTAATGTGTATTCAACTTATCAATAATAAATGTTAATGAATTTAATCAGGCAGAGACTATCAGATTGGATTAAAAATACATTCCAACTCTATGTTATCTATGCTCCCATAGATAACACACTTTAGGCTCAAAGACACAGATAGATTAAAAGGATACAAAAAGAAATAGTGCAAACAATTGCCATAAGAAAGCTGGACTGGCTATACTAGTGTCAGACAAAGTAGACTTTAAGACAAAAATGCTCCTAGAGATAGAGACATTTTATAATGATAAAAAGGTTAACCCATCAAAAAGATATAACAGTTGTAAACATATGTATGAACTTAACAGTATCAAAACACAGAAAGCAAAAACTGACAGAAATGGAAGAAGAAAATGGTCACAATAATAATTGGAGACTCCATAACCTATTTTCAGTAATGGACAAAACTAGACACAAGGTTAACAATGAAATAGAAAACTTGACCAACGCTGTAAACCAACTAGCCCTAACAGACATCTATAGAACACTTCACCCAAGCGCTACAGCATATACATTATCAAATGCTCATAGAACATTCTTCAGGATAGGCCTTATGCTAGACCATGAAACTTCAATACGTTTAAAAGGATAGAAATAATGCAAAGTGCATTTTGTGAACATAATCACAGGATTAAATTAGAAATAAAAAATGGGAACATTTGAAGAACTCACAATTAGGAAATTGAACAACACACTACTAAATGACCAATAGACCAAAGAAGAAAACAAGAAGGTAATCAGCACTTTGAGGCTAATGAAAATTAAGACACAAGTAAACTGTACGGATGCAGCTAAAAAAGTGCTTAGAGGAAATTTATAGGTGTAAATGCCTGTATTAAGGAAGAAATAAAGCAATAACCTTTCTTCCACCTTAAGTCACTGAAGAAAGAAGAACAAACTAAACCTAAAGCAAGCAGAAGGAAGGAAATAATAAAATTAGAGTAGAAATTAATGAAAGAATAGAAAAACAATAGAGAAAATATTACTAGAAACTGGTAATTTGAAAAGATCAATAAATATGACAAATATTTCACTAGGTTGACCAATAAAAAGGCAATACTCAAATTACTAGGATCTGATATGAAAGAGTAGACACTACTACCAACCTTACAGAAATGGGCAATCTGAATAGACCTATAACTAGTGAACAGATTAAACCAGGAATCAGAAAATTGCCCACAAAGAATAGTCCAGGCACAGACAGTTTTACCACTGTGTTCTACCAAACAATCAAATAAATTATAGCAATTATTCTCAAACTCTTTCAAGAAATAGGAGGGAGTACTTCCCAGTATTGCCCTGATAACAAAACTGCTCAAAGATATTACAAGAAAACTGCAGACCAATATGTCTTATGAAATACCTGCAAAAATCCTCAACTAAATGCTGCAAACCAAATCCAGCAACATATAAAAATAATTATGCACCATCACCAAGTAGGATTTATCCCAGGGATATAAGATTGGCTTAACATGTGAAAATCAATGTAATACATTATATCAATATAATAAAAAAGTCATCTCTACTGATGCAAAAATAGCTGCATTTGAATAAATCCAACACCCTTTCATCATAAAAATGTTTGAAAAACGAGGAACGGAAGGAAACTACCTTAACCTGATAAAGAACATCTATGAAAAATCTACAGCTTTCTTTATACTTAATGGTGAAAAACTGAATGCTTTCCCACTGAGATTAGAAATAAGACAAGGATGCCCATTATCACACTTCTATTTAACATTGTACTGGAGGGTCTAAGCCATTGCAATTATGCAAGAAGAAAATAAAGGTTGGAAAGGAAGAAGAAAGACTGTTCACAAATGACATGATCTTGTATGTAGAAGATTCTAGGGAATCCACCAAAAAAAAAAAAAAAAACTATTGAAACTAATAAGTGAGTTCAGCAAGATGGGAGGATACAACATCAGTATTTAAAAATCAGTTGGGCCGGGCATGGTGGCTCACGCCTGTAATCCCAGCACTTTGGGAGGCCGAGGCAGGTGGATCATGAGGTCAGGAGATCAAGACCATCCTGGCTAACACGGTGAAACCCTGTCTCCACTAAAAATACAAAAAATTAGCCAGGCGTGGTGGCGGGTGCCTGTAGTCCCAGCTACTTGGGAGGCTGAGGCAGGAGAATGGCATGAACCTGGGAGGCGGAGCTTGCAGTGAGCCAAGATTGTGCCACCGCACTCCAGCCTGGGTGACAAAGCGAGACTCCATCTCAAAAAAAAAAAAATCGTATTTCTACACACTTGCAATGAATAATCAAAAATGAAATTAAGAATATTCATAATAGCATCAAAAAGAATAAGGTGCTTAATAACATATTTAACAAAAAGTGCAAAACTTACACTCTGAAAACTACAAAACATTGCAGAAAGTAATTAAAGAAGACCTAAATAAATGGAAAAACATGCCATGTTCATGGATCAGAAGAGTTAATGCTGTTAAGATGACAATATTCCTCAAACTTGTCTGCAGATTCAGCATAATCCCTGTCAGAATCTCTGCTGACATCTTTGCAGAAATTGACAAGCTGATGCTAAGAGTTATATGAAATTTCAAGGGACCCAGAATAGCCAAAGAAATCCTGAAAAAGAATAAAGTAGAAAAACCCACATTTCTTCATTTTGAATTACAAAACAATAGTAATTAAGAAGTGTGTTACTGGCACAAGGGTAGACATAGATCATTGTATTTTTTTAAAAAATGGTGATTCCAGAAATAAATGCAAACATCTGTAGTCAACTGATTTTCAGTAAAGGTGCCAAGTCCATTCAGTGGGGAAAGAACAGTCTTTTCAACAAATGGTGCTGGGACAAGTGGATAGTCACGTGCAAAAGAATGAAGTTGGACACTTACCTTACATTATATTTAAAAAGTTGGCTGGGTATGACGGCCCATGCCTGTAGTCTTAGCACTTTGGGAGGCAAAGGGGCAGATTGCTTGAGTCCAGGAGTTTCAGACCAGCCTGGGCAACATGGCAAAGTCATGTCTCTACAGAAAAAACAAGTTAGCTGGTCATGGTCATGTGCATCTGTAGTCCCAGCTACTCAGGAGGCTATGGTGAGAGGATCACTTGAGCCCAGGAGGTCAAGGTTGTAGTGATCCATGAGCATGCCACTGTACTCCAGCCTGGGTGACAGAGCAAGACCCTATCTCAAAAAAAAGAAAAAAGAAAACAAGTTAAAATAGATGAAAGAGGCCAGGCGCGGTGGCTCACGCCTGTAATCCTAACACTTTGGGAGGCTGAGGTGGGCAGATCATAAGGTCAGGAGTTTGAGAGCAGCCTGGTCAATATGGTGAAACCCTGTCTCTACTAAAAATACAAAAATTAGCTGGGCGTGGTGGCGTGCACCTGTAGTCCCAGCTACTTGGGAGGCTGAGGCAGAAGGATCACTTGAACCCAGGAGCCGAGATTGTGCCACTGCGTTCCAGCCTGGGTGACAGAGTGAGACTCTGTCTCAAAAAAAAAAAAAAAAAAAAAAAAAAGACCTAACTATCAAAGCAAAACCTATAAAACTCTTAGAAGAAAATGGGTAAATCTTCATGAACTTGGGCTTGGCAAGCATTCTAAGATATGACATTAAAAACACAAGCAGCAAAAGAAGAGAATTTGGACTTCATTGAAATTTAAAGCTTTTGTGCTTTGAAGGATACCATCAAGAAAGGGAAAAGACAACCTACAGAATTGGAGAAAATATTTGTGAATCATATCTAATAAAGACTCAGAAATAACTTTAAAAATGGACAAAGGATCTGATTAGACATTTTCCCAAATATATAAAAATGGCCAATAAGCACATGAAAAGATGCTTGACATCATTAGTCATCAGGGAAATGCAAAGCAAAACCACAATGAGATATCACTTCACACCCACTAAGTTGGCTAAAATAAAAAAGATAGTAACAAGTGTTGACAAGAGATTGTAGAGAGATTGGAAGCCACAGATACTGCTGGTGAGAATGTAAAATGGTGCAGCCACTTTAGAAAACAGTTGCAATTTCTCAAATGATTAAACACAGAGCTAGCCTATGACCTAGAAATTCCTCTCCTAGGTATATAACCAAGTGAAATGAAGACTTATGTCCACACAGAAACTTGTAAATGAATCTCTAGCAGCATTGTTCGTAATAGCCAAAAAGTGGAAACAGCTCAAATATACATCAATAGGTGAATGGATTTTAAAATGCAGTATATCTATACAATGGAATATTATTCAGCCCCAAAAAGCAATGAAGGACGGATACACTGATACATGCTATAACACTGATGAACCTCTAAAATTTCCTGCTAAGTGAAAAAGTCATGAAAGACCACATGCTATGATCCCATCCATATAAAAGTCCAGAATAGGGAAATCTATAGAAACAGGAAGTAGGTTAGTGGTTGCTTAAAGAAAGAGTGGTAAGTAGGTTGCTTAAAGGGTCATAAGTGGGGACAATAGTTAAAAAGTTGGGGGTTTGGAGGTGATTTTTAGGTTTTCAGATGATGAAAATGTAAAATTGAGGTGGTGATGGTTGCATGTATCTTTGAGTATACTAAAAGCTACTGAATTGTACTACTGAAATAAATGAGTTATATGGTATATGAATTATATCTCAGTACAGTTGTTAATAAATAATTAACATAAGGTGCAAGATAAATTGGGAGCTTAACAAAAAGACAACCCAATTAAAAATGCTTGAAGAATCTGAATAGACATTTCCCAAAGAAGATATACAAATGGCCAAAAAGCACATGAAAAGATGCTTGACATCATTAGTCTTTAGGGAAAGGCAAGTCAAAACTGTGATGAGGTACCACTTCACAGTCACTAGCATGACTATAATAATTTTTTTAAAACTCAATAACAAATGTTGACAAGGACATGGATAAGCAAACCTTTATACATTGCTGGTGAGAATGTAAAATGGTGCAACCACTGTGAAAAATAGTTTGGTGTTTCCTCAAAAAGTTAAACATACAATTACCATATGATCCAACAATTATACTTTGTGGAATATTCCACAAACTGAAAACTGGTGCTCAAACAAATACTTGTATGTGAATATTCATAGTAGCACTATTCACAATGGTCAAAATGTGGACACAGTTGAAGCGTCCATTGACAGATGAATAGATAAACAAAATGTGGTCTATCTACACAGTGGAATATTACTCAGCCACAAAAGGGATGAAGTACTGATGCAACAAGGATGACACAGAAGATAACATATATTGTATGATACCATTTATATAAAATACACAGAACAGGGAATTCTATAGACAGAAAGCAGATGAATGGTTGTGAGAGGCTGGGGTGGGGAGGGGGATGGGGAGTGATTTCTTTCTTTCTTTTTTTTTTTTTGAGACAGTCTTGCTCTGCTGCCCAGGCTGGAGTGCAGTGGCACGATCTTGGCTCACTGCAAGCTCCACCTCCCAGGTTCACGCCATTCTCCTGCCTCGGCCTCCTGCCTCAGCCTCCCAAGTAGCTGGGACTACAGGTGCCCGCCACTATGCCCGGCTAATTTTTTTTGTATTTTTTTAGTAGAGATGGGGTTTCACCATATTAACCAGGATGGTCTCGATCTCCTGACCTTGTGATCTGCCCGCCTCGGCCTCCCAAAGTGCTGGGATTACAGGCGTGAGCCACCACGCCCAGCTGGGGAGTGATTTCTTAATGGGTATAGGGTTCTTTTATGGGGTGATGAAAGTGCTTTGGAACCAGATGGAAGTGGTGATCGCACAACATTGTGAATGTACTAAAGGCTGCTGATTTGTACACTTTAAAAAATATCTTCAGGTGTTCAATATTGCTTTCAGTCTATTTTGGTAAGATTTTTCTAGAAAATTGTTTATTTTGTCTGTTTTAAAAGTTGTTCCTTTGTGGATATCATCTGTTTGTCATTGGTGTTCTGCAGTTTCATTATGATTTATGTGTCTTTTTTCCACATAAATTTTTCAAAGTTATTCCTTTGTGGTTATCATCTGTTTGTCATTGGTGTTCTGCAGTTTCACTCTGATTTATGGGTGTTTTTCCCCTTCTGGTTCAGTCCTCAGAGATATGTGGATTTATTTTTATCCTGTATGGAGCCTGTGCTTCCTGAATTTAAGGATTCATGTCCTTCAACAGTTCTGGAAGACTGTAGCCATTATTTCTTTGAATACTGCCTCTCCTCATTTGCTTTCACCCTTCTGGAACTTTTTATTTCTAACTTTCTGGTTAAGCTATCCATTGAATTTTTATTATTATTTTTTGAGACATAGTTTCACTTTTGCCCAGGTTGAAGTGCAGTGGCACGATCATAGCTCAGATCATAGCTCACTGCAAACTTTTGACCATAGCTCACTGCAACCTCGAACTCTTGGGCTCAAGTGATCCTCCCGCCTCAGCCTCCCAAGAGGCTGGGGCTACAGGCAGATGCCACCACACCTGGCTGAAGTTTGAAAATTTTTTCAGAGAGACAGAGTCTCGCTGTGTCACCCAGGCCAGTCTTGAACTCTTGGCTCAAGTGATCCTCCTGCTTTGGCCTCCCAAAGCACTGGGATTACATGTATGAGGCACTGTGCCCAGCCTGAATTTTTAATTTTATAATCATAATGTTTATTTCTAAAATTGTTTCTTCCTCCCCTCTAAGCTTCCCAATTTTGTCTTACAATGCTTTTTTCTTATTTTTTCTTCTTGTGGCTATAATAATTTTAAACACCACTGTTTCATAGACTCCATCAGATTACTGCACTGGCTGGAGGTCTTGCTGTTGATCCTGCTCTTTGTGGTGTCTGCTGGCTCTCCCTCACAGTAAATTGGGGGGTGTGTGTGTGTGTGTGTGTGTGTGTGTGTGACGTTTTTGTGTGTAAAGATGGGTGAGTCATCTTCAAAGGGGCTTTCTCACCAGCATGGTTTTTGTATGTGCTTGCATCTGATGGTTATTATCAGCCTGGGACCAATTTTTTCTGTTAATTTCTTAACTTTCAATATTTTGGATCTTGTGGTAATGTAAGTTTGGACTTCAAACTCATGTGAACTTATAGTTATGAATTGTCTGAGTGTAGAGGTGGGGTGAGATATGAGGGAGGATAAGTCCCCCACTAAGAATCCAGCTCAAACAGCAAAGCTTCTCTGTAGCGGGAGGTAGATTCTATTAATATTCTAGCCCACTGTTTTTCTGAGGCCATACCTGTATGAGGGGGTCTCAGTTCTGATTCTTTTTCTAAAGCAAGCCCATATTTTTGTCTGCTACCCATGCCTTGGTGTTAAATCCAAACTTCTGTATTTCAGGAACAGCACTTTTCAGGGAATATGGACCACTCTATTTATAGTTTCTTTCTCGTTTGTAGCCCCTGGCACTTGACTTTGCTAAGATCTCAGCTATGTCGTTAAACGGATTTTTGTCACATTATATTTAACATTATAAATAACATTTCTTGTTTAGAAGGCCTTTTGGGTAATCTTATCTGTTACATTGCTGAAACCATTACATTTTTTAATTTGTCATGTTGGTCTAAAGAGCTTAGAATAGTGCCTGGCACAAAAATAAGAGCTGTGTGTGTTAGCAGTTTCATTTTTATGTTACTTTTCTTATTTTTATTACTGCTGGATTATCTTTATAGTTCTAAAGCTTCAGCAACTGGTTCTCATATTTTCTAGATATACCAAAGATCATCTACAAATAACGACATGATTGCCTCTTTCTTTTCAGTATTTATAAACCTTATTCTTTTCTTACTGTGCTACCATCTTCCTCTAGCCCCGCATTTGCCAGGAATGGTGATGGGAGTGGTCATCTGTGTCTTTTTCCTAACTTAAATGAGGAATGCTTTGCATGTGTGAAGCATATGTGCTCTAAATTTCTGGTTGACACCTTTTAATGAGTTAAGAACCCTTTTCCTGTTCCTAGCTTACAAATAGTTTTCATTAGAAACAAATTATGAATTTTTTAGTTGCATTTTCTACATTTACTGAAATGACAATACTTCTTTAATCTACTAGGTTTCTGAATTGGATTAGTATAGTATATTTAGTGTTTTTTTGTTGTTGTTTTTTTTAAATCAACTCATCATTCCTAGAATATTCCTAATCCTGGGATGAAGGTGGGGAACCCCTATTTGGTCATGATATATTTCGCTTTTAATATACTGCTGGTTTCAATTGGCTAATACTTTATTAGATTTTTAACCTCTCAGATCATAAGGGAAATTGCTGTATAGTTATTTTTTCTTTACTTTTTGCTGTGCTGTGTGTGTGTGCATGCATGCATGTGTGAAAGTTGTTCTTGTCTTGGAAAATAAATTGGGAAATACTCCACCTTTTTATGTTCTCAGAAGAGTTCCTGTAACATAGGAATTACATGCACATTTCATAGACTACTTGTAAAACTGGGCTTTTGTACATTTTGGAAGAATGTTTCAGCTCAATCCTCGTACTCACTCAATTGCTTTTCAATAGTGTCCATTCTGATATTCTGCCCATGCCCCGATGTTTTTCTTTTAATTTCACAATCGACTGTTCTCTCCTAGGATTTGCCCTTGGTCCTTCTTTCGTAATGCTCTGTCCTGTGTCATGGATGCACTGGGCTCTCCTAAAATATAGGATATATCCTCCCCATCTCCTTTTGCCTCCTCCAGTGCTGCAGTTGGTTGAGTTTTGTGGTGTTGGTTTTCTTCAGATCTTGGGTGGTCTTAGCTATGTTTGATATATTTGAGACCCCCTGTTTGCCTGTCCTGTTGATCCTGTGGATCCTACACTGCCTCCAGCGCTGTGGAGAGAGCTGGGTTGGGCTGCTGAGGAGGGTGTCCAGGAGCGAGTCTCAGTAGGGTGAAGGCTCCCATTTCTCCTGGTGAATTCCAGCCCTGAGGGCATGGCAAGGCCTCTTTGTCGAAGTGTCCACAGAAATGTCTGGGGCAGGGGTAGACAAAGGTCTCTGCATGGCAAGGGCAGGGGAAGGAGGACCTAATCCTTGGCTGATCCTAATGCAGTGACCCTGTGGGCCCAGCACACCTCTCCTTGCCAGCACTCCCACCTTGGCAGCCGCCACCTGCCCCATCTGAGTATGCTTTCCTTCTTATCCTATGTGGTTTTTGATTCACAGTGGCCTTCCTTTTCCTGTCGTCAACCACTTATGAATGTATATACAGACAGGTGTCACTTAATGACAGGGATATGAGGACACGTTCTGAGCAGCATGTCATAGGCACTTTTATCATTGTGCTAGCCTCATAGAGTGACTTATCCAAACCTCAGTGGTACAGCTACTACACACCTAGGCTATATGGCTACAAACCTGTACAGCATGTGACTGTACTGATTGCTGTAGGCAGTTGTAACATAATGGTATTTGTGTATCTGAACATATCTAAACACAGAAAAGGTGCAGAAAAAATATGGTATAAAAGATAGCAAATGGTACACCCCTATAGGACACTTCTGACTGGAGCTTGGAGGACTGGAAGTTGCTCTGGGTTTGTCAGTGAGTGTAAGTGAATGTGAAGGCCTAAGACATTACTGTACACTTTTATACAACTGGCAGTGCAGTAGGGTTGTTTACAACAGCATCAAGATAAACACATAATATATTGCACTGCAATGTTCTGAGGGCTGTGATGTACTAGGTGGTAAGAATTTTTTAGCTCTATTATAGTCTTTTGGGACCACCATTGTGTATTCCATCCATGATTGACTGAAACATCATTATGTGGTGTATGATTGTATATATCTAAATAGTATACAAGTATTTATGAGTTTTTTTGCGTGTACTTTTTTTTCTGTTGTCTTGGAATTTTGTCTTCATCTAATGACATTGATTTAACTTCCTTTAACCTCAGTTTATAAACACTTAATTTATGAAAGTAATTGTAGAACATATTTTTAAAATCTGAATCTTTACAACACAAATGGCAAAAGGTTCTTTCAGAAGTTAGAATTCAGTTTCCCATTCAATGTCTGTTCTGTTAAATCACTGGGAACGTCATTTACGCAAAGGCAGAAGAAGAGGTAACTTCCTGCCCACCAAGCCACACTAACGGTACATTTTACACCCTCATTGGCACAAGCGTCAGAAGTAAATGAAAACAAAATCACTCTATCTGCAGACAGAGTGACACTCTAACATTTTCAGTCTGTTGGGTATGTTTTAATCCTAAAATTAATGTTTGGAATAGAATTTTGAAATTGTTTTAATCTGGAGAATAAAAATTACATTTTGCTGAGCAAGTAAACTGAACTTAAAATAGAAAATATTTTTCACTAAAAATAGGAATAAAAAGATGGAAGTGAAGAATGGAAAGAAGTCTGCAGTGAGCAGCTTGAGAAGGTAATTGTTCATCTGAACAAAAGAAATTCTTGTAGTCCTATGGCCTTCCTGGTTCCATGGCCACCTGCCCCCAGCATGGTCAACCAAGCACAGTGTGATGTGCTGACAATCTCACCTTGTGTGCATTGTGGGTTTCAGATTTGGAAAAAGACTGGCATCAGCTTCCACGGAGATTACTGTATTGTTTTGTGCAGTTTCTGAATTTAAGACAGGAAAAATCTGACTAATGCATATCACCAGCATCGTGGCTGTCAAGAATTTCTATGTTGTTTCAACTTTCTGCTTCTTTGGGAGAGAGGAAGGGCAGCACCTTAGCTTTGTGCCTTGGTTTGAGGAACCGTGTTTCTCAATATTGGCCACCACCATTGATCCTTTTCTTCTTCACAGGGAATTCGGTGCCCTGTGCCTTTGCTTTCGCTTTGCAAGACAATCAAGGCCGACCTGGGCATGGGTCCCCACTCAGCGTCCCGACCCCGCACCGGGCGCTGAGGCAGAGAGCGCGAGAGGGCGGGGGTCCACCTTCTTCCTCAGTGGCAGCTCACCCGTGCGTAACTGTCGTTTGGAGGACAGTGATACAAGTTAGGAAAACCAGGCATTTGTTTAACTCTTCTGCCTGAGGAAAAGCAATGTTGGACATTTGCAGTTCTGGCGATTCAGCTTGGTTTTCCTAAAAGACAGGCCCCCACCCCTTCCCCCGGGGGCGCGGGTCTTGTTTGGATACCGGCAGCCTGGGGCCAGGGATGTGCTAGGGCAACAAAGATGGTCCTGGAGGAGGAGGCCGTTCGTTTCTGCCGCTCCCGGGAGTTTTTGGGCTCAACTCACAGGACGAAGTTTTGCTTTCAGTGGTAAAGCACACTTTCTCCCGCCTGCTTTTGTTCCTGTCTGGTTCTTGCATATGCTGCCTTTTCTCCTTTTAGTTTTTAGTTGGTCGTAAACAGTAATATAAATAAACAAACCAAAACAAAGCGCGGTGTAACTACCTGTGACACCAGGAAAACCCTGTGCACAGCGGGGCTGGCGCTGCGGGCGGACAGCGTTGGGCCCACCCGAGCTCCCTGGCTGCGAACTCTCTGCTCCCGTCCGCACCCGCTGCCACCCACAGACAGGAAATACAGCACCCCACCTGCGGAGACGCCGGCGGCTGGGGGACAGCACGCTTTGTTAAGAAATCAGAATGCAAAATGGCACACCGTGCACAACTGGGTCTACACAGGCAAGGGAAGAGGAGGAAATGTAAACAGCTGTCCCGAGTTTACTAAGAGGGCAAAGTGAGTAAATTTTTTTCATTAGTCCTGCTTTCACAACAATCGCATTTTAGAATAACTGTAACTTGTATTGAGAGGGAGGCCCCTCCTCCACTTCGTGACCACAGTGTGGAAGCTGCACTGCGGGCAGCCAGGGTTTTCCTCGGCCTCCATAGAAAGACGCTTAACTTCTTATATGGTTGTGGCAAGCACTAAAATCCTGATTTTTACAGAATAGTAGTAAAAATGCCTCAGTGACTTACTTTGAAAACAGTACATTGGTACATGGCTCTTGTACCCAGTATCAGGAATGTACAAATGTCTTTTTATTCAAAAGTACAAAATGAATTATCTGTAGGCACGGACAATGACAGCAATAAACCATTATATATTTTGTCAACTGAAACCAGTAACTGATGGTTATAGTGATTTCTTAAACATCAGCCAGCCTTTTCTTCATTTTCTCCAACTGACTTCTCTGAAATTATTAGTGAGGAACACTGCCTTGGGCTTCCTGTCACAGCTCATTAATAAAGGTAAAGCACTATTCTAGGAATTAGAACATGCCACCTCTCATACCACCTCCCATTCCACCCATTCCAGGGTTCTTCTCTTCTTTAGGAATTTCTGTGACTACAGCTTCTGCTGTAGTTAACAGAGAGGCCATGCCATCAGCATCCAATATAGTAGTGCCCACCATGCCTGCCCCATTCCTGTAACCCCCGCCTGGCTGCTCACCAGTTTCCTCTCAGAGATTTCCTCTCCCTATTTTTGAGTTAATTATTGACTTCTTTTTGAAACCTCCCTTTTAGACTTGTGCATTTTTGAAGGCAGAATTAAATGGTGCCATTCTGCCTTTTGCAATGATGACCTTGCATCTTTGGTTTAACAGTTACCAAGATATTAAGCAAAATTTGTCTCAGATCTTTTCTTTTTCCCTTAAAGACATACATGTGACAAAAAGAATTAGCCACCCCAGTTCCTTTTCATGTCCTCTCTCTGCAGAGGTAACTCTCTGATGTGGTGTGGCTGTGCCCCCACCCAAATCTCAACTTGAATTGTAGATCCCAGAATTTCCATGTGTTGTGGGAGGGACCAGGCGGAGGTAATTGAATCATGAGGGCCGGTCTTTCCCATGCTATTCTCATGGTAGTGAACAAGTCTCACGAGATCTGATGGGTTTATCAGGGGTTTCTGCTTTTGCTTCTTTCTCATTTTCTTTTGCCATCACCATGTAAGAAGTGCCTTTCACCTCCTGCCATGATTCTGAGGCCTGCCCAGCCATGTGGAACTGTAAGTCCAATTAAACCTCTTTTTCTTCCCAGTCTTGCGTATGTCTTTATTAGCAGCATGAAAATGGACTAATACAGTCAGTTGGTACCAGTAGAATGGAATGTTGCTGAAAAGATACCCAAAAATGTGGAAGTGACTTTGGAACTGGGTAATAGGCAGAGGTTAGAACAGTTTGGAAGGCTCAGAAGAGGACAGGAAAATGTGGGAAAGTTTGGAACTCCCTGGAGACTTGTTGAATGGGTTTGACCAGAAGCCTGATAGCAATATGGACAATAAGGTCCAGACTGAGGTGGTCTCAGATGGAGATGAGAAACTTGTTTTGGGAACTGGAGTGAAGGTGACTCTTGTTACGTTTTAGCAAAGATACTGGCAGCATTTTGCCCCTGCCCTAGAGATGTGTGGGACTTTGAACTTGAGAGCAATGATTTAGGGTATCTAGCGGAAGAAATTTCCAAGCAGCAAAGCATCCAAGAGATGACTTGGAGGCTGTTAAAGGCATTTAGTTTTATAAGGGAAGCAGTGCATAAAAGTTTGGAAAATTTGCAGCCTGACAATGTGATAGAAAAGAAAAACCCATTTTCTGAGGAGAAATTCAAGTCGGCTGTAGAAATTTGCATAAAGTAACGAGGAGCCAAATGTCAGTCCCCAAGAGGATGGGGGAAAATGTCTCCAGGACATGTCAGAGGTCTTCACAGCAGCTCCTCCTATCACAGGCCCGAAGGCCTAGGAGGAAAAAAGTGGTTTCATGGGCTGGGCCCAGGGTCCCCCAGCTGTGTGCAGCCTACGGACTTGGTGTCCTGCATCCCAGCTGCTCCAGCTGTGGCTGAAAGGGGCCAACATAGAGCTCAGGCCATGGCTTCAGATGGTGCAAGCCCCAAGCCTTGGCAGCTTCCACATGGTGTTGAGCCTGAGGATGCACAGAAGACAAGAATTGAGGTTTGGGAACCTCCACCTGGATTTCAGAAGATGTATGGAAATGCCTAGATGCCCAGGCAGAAGTTTGCTGCAGGGGCGGGGCACTCATGGAGAACCTTTGCTAGGGCAGTGTGGAAGGAAATGTGGAGTCAGGGCCCCCAGGCAGAGTCCCTACTGGGGCATCACTTAGTGGAGCTATAAGAAGAGGGCCACTGTCCTCCAGACCCCAGAATGGTAGATGCACCAACAGTTTGCACTGTGCACCTGGAAAAGCCGCAGACAATGGCAGCCCATGAAAGCAGCTGGGCAGGAGTCTGTACCCTGCAAAGCCACAGGGGCGGAGCTTCCCAAGACCATGGGAACCTACTTTTTACATCAGCGTGACCTAGATGTGAGACTTGGAGTCAAAGGAGATCGTTTTGGAGCTTTAAAATTTGACTGCCCTGCTGGATTTTGGATGCATGGGTCCTGAAACCCTTTTGTTTTGGCCAATTTCTCCCATTTGGAACGGCTGTATTTACCCAATACCTGTACCTCCATTCTATGTAGGAAGTAACTAGCTTGCTTTTGATTTTACAGGCTCATAGGCAGAAGGGACTTTCCTTGTCTTGGATGAGACTTTGGACTGTTGACTTTTGGGTTCATACTGAAATGAGTTAACACTTTGGGGGACTGTTGGGAAGGCATGATTGGTTTTCAAATGTGAGGACATGAGATTTGGAGGGGTTGGGGCAGAATGATATGGTTTGGCTGTGTCCCCTCCCAAATGTTGCATTGTAGCTCCCAGAATTCCCATGTGCTGTGGGAGGGACCCAGTGGGAAGTAATTGAATCATGGGGGCTGGTCTTTCCCATGCTATTCTTGTGATAGTGAATAAATTTCACGAGATCTGATGGGTTTATCAGGGGTTTCCACTTTTTCTACTTTCTCACTTTCTCTTGCCACTGCCATGTAAGAAGTGCCTTTTGCCTCCCACCATGATTCTGAGGCCTCCCCAGCCATGTAGAACTGTAAGTCCAGTTAAATCTCTTTTTCTTTCCAGTCTCTGGTTGTCTTTATCAGCAGGTTGAAAATGGACTAATATACTCCCCTTCTAAAGTTGACGTGTATTGGTCTCCAGGCATGCTTCATTCACTGACCATGCCTTCCTGGCCATCGCTGTCCCTGGGGTCCACACTGGATCTGCAGTGTGGTTGGATCTGCAGTGTGGTTGGATCTGCAACCAACTGCAGTTCAAGAATACGTTTTTAGAAAATAACAATACAATAAAATATAATACAAACAAAAAACAATACAGTATGACAACTATTTGCCTAGCATTTACATTGTATTAGGTAT
This sequence comes from Homo sapiens, assembly GCF_000001405.40. Taxonomy (NCBI): domain Eukaryota; kingdom Metazoa; phylum Chordata; class Mammalia; order Primates; family Hominidae; genus Homo; species Homo sapiens. The sequence continues at coordinate 49,437,969 of NC_000010.11, read as the reverse complement.
TGCAAGTAGTCCATAAATGGTGTAAAGTACACAGGAGGATGTGCCTATGTTATATGCACATGTGTCCTATTCTCAAATGGTTATTTAAATTTTGACTTTAACTGTAATTACTTTTTTAAAATATTTTTAAGACTATTTCCATGTTTTTCTTCCCTTTATTCACCTTGATCTCATGCTGGAGGTTTGTCTCTCTTATTAGTCTCTTCAAAAAATCAGCCTTTTATTATTTATTTGATTACTCTGTTGTTAACTTTCTAACAGACCTCAGGTGCTCAGAACCAGATAAGCCAGAATTCTTGGCAGAAGAGGCTCCCTGTCATCCTGTCATGCCTGTTTTATTTTGGTTATGCCTGTACTAGTAAGCACCCATGAACCCACTCTCCAGAATTAGAGAAAGGACACCCCAATAACTCACAGCTACCTGTCTATTCCTCTCCTCTCCTCCACCTTTCTTCCCCAGCTAGTAAACACTATTCTCAGTTTTGTACTATTTCCTTGCTTATATGTTTGTATATACCTAGAAGAACATTATTTTTAGTTGTTCTTAATGTAATAAAAAGGGATCTTGCTGTACTTAATATTCTGAGACTTTGTTTTTAAAGTCAATGTTATACTGGTGTGTTTTATCCACATTATTGCATGTAGCTGTATATATTAGTCCGTTTTCATGCTGCTGATAAAGACATACCTGAGACTGGGTAATTTATAAAGAAAAAGAAGTTTAATGGACTCACAGTTCCACATGGCTGGGGAGGCTTCATAATCATGGCGGAAGGCAAGGGAAGAACAAAGATATGTCTTATATGGCAGCAGGTGAGAGAGAATGAGAACCAAGCAAAAGGCATTTCCCCTTATAAAACCATCGGATCTCCTGAGACTTATTCACTACCACAAGAACAGCATGGGGGAAACCACCCCCCATGATTCAATCATCTCTCACCGGGTGCTTCCCACAACAGGTGGGAATTATGGGAGCTACAATTCAAGATGAAATTTGGTGGGGACACAGCCAAACCATATCACTGTACTTTTAAGTTTCACCATGGTATGATATGCCATTTTGTAAATATTCCACAATTTATCTATTCTCTCTTACCTGGTTCTAATTTCTTATTACCTATGTGATTTCTTATTGAAAGGCATTCAGTTATCTCAGGTTTTTCCATTATAAATACTGCAGCTATTAACACTTTGATATATGCCTCCCGGTACACATGAGTGAGGTTGTCTCTTGGACATAGAGCCAGGAATGGAATTGTATCCATTGTGCCAACTATTACACTTTAAGTATAAGAAATCCTGCTGATTTGTATCCTTTCCAATATGTAATGCTATCAGACTTTAATTTTTGTAGACCAAATTAGTTTAAAATCTCATTCTGACCTTTATTTGATTTTCTTTATGTCTAATGGTTTCAGACATTTCTTCATGTGTGTTTCCTTTTCAGTTCTTTTTCCTGTTCATTTTTATTGGCTTGTTTGTCCTTCTCTTATTGATTTGTAGGGGTTCTTTGTATTCTTGATTCAGATTCAGTGTAGATTATGTAAATATTATCTCCAAGTTTCTAATGTGTCTTTCTGTTTCACTAAGTTATTTGTTGATGAGCTTACTTTTTTATATATAGTCAAATTTATCAATCTTTTATTTTATTGCTAGTGTTTGCTGTGTCTTTTTTAAAAAATCTTTTCCTACTCTACATTTGGAAAGACTTTTACTTATATTTCCTAGTGAAATTTTTACTTTTGTCATTTAAGTACTTAATCCAGCTAGAATTAATTTTTAAGCATGGAGAGAGGTAGAGGTTCAATTTCATTTGTTTCCCCAAATGAATATGCTCATCATCATTTTCTTCCTTTGGTGGCTTTGGAATTTAGTCTGTTAATTCTTCAAATAATAATTTGAGTTAGATCCTTGTTTCATAGTTTTTTAGTCTTCCTTGCTTTTTTTTTTTTTCTTTCTTTCTTTTTTTTGAGACAGTCTGATTCTGTCGCCCAGGCTGGAGTACAGTGGCACGATCTCGGCTCACTGCAACCTCCTCCGGCTCCCAGGTTCAAGTGATTCTCCTGCTTCAGCCTCCTGAGTAGCTGGGATGACAGGCGCCTGCCACCATGCCCAGCTAATTTTTGTATTTTTAGTAGAGACGAGGTTTCACCATGTTGGCCAGGCTGGTCTTGAACTCCTGACCTCAAGTGATCCACCCGCCTCAGCCTCCCAAAGTGCTGAGATTACAGGTGTGAGCCATTGCACCCTGCCCTCTTCCTTGCTTTTTAATACTTGCATTTAAAGCTATAACTTTCCCTCTAAGTACTGCTTTAGGTTCATCCTATATTTTTTATATGCTATGCATTCATCATTATTTGATTCTAATTTCTAATTTTCAATATGATTTCTTCCAATTCATAAGCTATTTAAAGTGTTGAATTTTCAAATACATTTGCAGGGTTGACTGTCTTTCTGTAATTGATTTTTAGTGCTGTTTCACTGTGGTCAGAGACTGTGCTCTGCGTGGGATTGGCTATTTTGGTGTTTCTTGAGGCCACTTTTGTTGCTTAGCAACTGATCAGAATGTGCTGATTGTTGGGTGTTCTGTGACTGTTTATTAGGTCAAGTATGTAAACTGGGTTGCTTAAATTTTCTGTGTCCTTGCTAATCTTTATTTTCCCTGCTTAATCTATCAATTACTGAACGAAGGTATGTGAACTTTTCCATTATTATATGGATTTTAAAATTTCTCTTTATAAATCTATCAGTTTTTGATTTTTCTGTTTTAAGACTATATTGTTAGAAACATACAGATTCTGGATTTTAAAAATATCTTTATGGTGAATTTTCATTGTCATATATGATAGAAATTGTTCCCATGATCACATGATAACCTCTTTCACCCTAATAATGCTTTTTGTCTTGTTTATTTTGTCTAATGTAAGTATAGCTAGAACTGTTCTCTTTTGATTAATATTTGCCTAGTATGTTTTTTCATTTATCATTTTACAAATAATTTTCATCAGTATACAGATAATTTTCATCAGTATACAAACATAGTCAATGTATAACTGAGATTACTAATAAATTTGGATTTATTTCTGTCATTACATGTGTGTTGTATTTATTATCATGCTTTGTTTTCATCTTTAACTTTATTTTCCTCTCCTGTCTTCTATGAATTTTTTTTTTTTTTTTTTGAGATGGAGTTTTCCTCTTGTTGCCCAGGCTAGTTGCTCTTGTTGCCCAGGAGTGCAGTGGTGTGATCTCAGCTCACTGCAACCTCTGCCTCCTGGGTTCAAGCAGTTCTCCTGCCTCAGCCTCGCGAGTAGCTGGGATTATAGGCATCTGCCACCATGCCCAGCTAATTTTTTGTATTTTTTTAGTAGAGATGTTTTGGCCAGGCTGGTCTTGAACTCCTGACCTCAGGTGATCTACCTGACTCAGCTTACCGAAGTGTTGGGATTACAGGCGTGAGCCACCGCGCCTGGCCCTGTCTCCTATGAATTAATTGGACTTTTGTTATTCGCTTTCCCTTTTTCACTGAAGTTATACAGTTTATTCCTAGTCTTTACAAATTTAATATGCACTTTTAAAGCCAGTATTTTCATCTTCTTTCCCCAGAATAAAAGAACCACAGAACTCCGTAACTGTTATTATTGTATCTTTCCCTCAACTTGCATGTTCTATTGTCTTAATTTTAGGTCCACCCTGTTTCTAATGATCCCCATTCATCATTAGTATTGTTTCAAACAGTTTGTGGTCGCTAGGTTTAGATTTCCCTGCATGTTTATTACTTTTCCTGCTCATTGCATCTCACTCTGTCTTTGTTTCTGAATTATGTTCTTCACTAGTTCTCTCAGTGTGTTTATGTGTGTGTGTGTGGGGTGCTCTATTTGAATGAAAATTACTTCATTTCACTCTCATTCTGGAATGCTTGTTGAACAGGGCATGGAATGTTCAGTTAAAATTATTTGTTTCCAGCACATTGAAGATGTGATTCTCTTTTCTTCAGACCTCTTCTATTGCACTTTAGGCATCTGCGGTCCGTCAAGTGGAAGCTGGTTGCTAGGTTATTAGTCTTTTCTCCCTGGTTGCTAACTAGATTTTCTCTTTGTCTTTGACATTTTATGATTTTTATTGAGGTATATCCATGTATTCATTTTTTTTTGAGTCAGTCTTGCTCTGTCGCCCAGTCTGGAGTGCAGTGGCACGATCTTGGCTCACTGCAACCTCTGCCTTGTGGGTTCAAGTGATTCTCCTGCCTCAGCCTCCTGAGTAGCTTGGACTATAGGTGCGTGCTATCATGCCTGGCTATTTTTTGTATTTTTAGTAGAGATGGGGTTTCATCATGTTGACCAGGCTGGTCTTGAACTCCTGGCCTCAAGTTATTTCCCTGCCTTGGCCTCCCAAAGTGTTGGGATTGCAGGCATGAGCCACTGCGCCCAGCCCATGTATTCATTTTTACTTTTTGTGCTCAGAACTACTTGTACTTACTCAACCCAAGGATTTATATTTTTAATAATTTCTTTAAAATGACGAATCTCTCAAATATTGCCTCTCCTCCCTCTTCATTCAGAAAGTTCTCCTTTCTATAGGCCCATCAGCTGTGTGTCAGCTCTTATTCTTTTCTCCAGTTTTTGAGCCCTTCAAGGTTTTTTTAAAAATTATTTATATCTCTGTGATGCATTCTAGGTGATTTCCTCAGAAGTATCTTCCACTTCACGAATTCTCTCCCCACAGGTGTTTAACTTGCATTTAACCTGCCCATTGAGTTTTTAATTTCAATGCCTTTTAATTTTATTTTTCAGTTTTATTGAGGTATAATTGACAAATAAAAATTGTATATATTTACAGTGTACATGATAACTTGATATATCTATACATTCTGAAAGGATTGCCACAATCCAGCTGGATAACCTATCACCTAACATTCTTACCATTTTTTTTTGTAGTGAGAACATTTAACATCTATTCTCTTAGTGACTTTTTATATTTTTAAGTGTTTTATTTTTCCTTTACCTAATCTTTTAGAAGTTCTCTTTTCTCATATGATTTCTAGTTTCTTTAATCTTTTGAAATAGTCTTATTTTATAAACATTTTCATAATATTTTACTGACTCAAGTTTGGTGAGGGTTGGGAGAAGCCAATCTAGTTTGCCATTTCTGCTTTTTTTTTTTTTTAAAAATAGGCTTTATTTTTTACAGCAGTTTGAGGTTCACAGAAAAACTGAGTGGAATAGCTCTGTTGAGTTTTACTCATTGTGTCATATTTCCTTGTGTGTTTTGAAATTTTTAAACTGGGACCTCCTATATGGCAAGATTTGTGTTTGTTAGTTTTTAATGTAGGAACCTCTGGGCTGGGAAATTTTTTCTAAGGATGGGTTTTGCCTTTGCTGTCTCTGAGACAACTGAAGTCTCAACCAATTATAAACAATTCTCATGTTACTTTTGCAGTTTAGGGATTTCAGTGACACATGGACTTCAAACCTGTGCATAATGTAAGCTCAGGGTCTCAGTTTCCCTTAGGAGAGTCCTCCTCCTCTCCTCCTTTCCTTCAGTGCTCTAGGCAGATACCAGCTTTCTTGACCTCTTACATGCTAGTGGGCAGAATTTTTCTCATTCTCCTTTCATGGCAGCCTCCCACTCTCAAGGATCTCAGCTTTATGTAGTTCCAGTTCTCTAGCTTGAATGCACGCAACGCTGCTTCTCCTCTCTCTTTGTGGGGTGATAAAGTGGGTTTGGATTATAATCCTGGAGGACACATCCTGAATGCCATGATCTTGAATGCTGAATTCGAAAGATCGACATCCCTAATGTCTAAATTCCTACAGTCTAAAAGCCCCAAAATCACAATCCCAACAGATTAGAATCCTGAATGTTGAAATCCTGAAAGTCAAATTCTGAGGAAGGGATTAGTGCCTCTTTCATTCTACATAGGATAGTTCCATCATGTTAGGTGGAACTATTACCTCCATATTGTCTTTATGTGAAAATTAAGTATGGTTTAAGGAGATGCATATGGCTATGTATTTCATCTTTGCATCATTTCCAATACTGGAGGTATAAATTGTATAGAGACTTCTAGAGAGTTCTAATTTGTTTCATGCATTTTTTGCAGATTTGACTCCAGAGTGCATTATCACAGTGTTGACTGTGTGTAAGCATTGTGTATATACATAGGAATGTTGAAACTTCTTCAATAAACGAAGAGATGTCCTTTTTGTACATCTGCATTTGTAAAAGAGATTTCTTAAGATCTTGGCTGTTTGGGTAACTGCTTATGTGCTGGTGACCCATTGTGGTTTTTTGATTGATCTTCTCAAAAGATAGGCTGTTCATCATGATATTTCAGATGACCACAGTTATAAAGCTGGGTGCACGTAGTGACTGACCATAATGATATGTGTTTATACATCCCTTTTTGACCTATTTCTTCATGAATATCTGCTCATTACTCTTATGTTCATGTGACTGCCCTTAGTAGACCTGAGTGTTTATGCTTGCAAATTATGTATGTTATTATTGCCTATTGTGTAAAGTGGTCTGTGAAGTGTTCTGCTATTTATTTTAATTTTTTTGAGACACAGTCTTGCTCTCTGTCACCCAGACTGGAGTGCAGTGGCCTGATCTCTGCTCACTGCAACCTCTGCTTCCCAGGCTCAAGCAATTCTCCTTCCTAAGCCTCCCAAGTAGCTGGAACTACAGGCATGCACCACCATACCGGATAATTTTTTGTATTTTTAGTACAGATGGGGTTTTACCATGTTGGCCCAAGCTGGTCTCTAACTCCTGGCCTCAAGTGATCCACACATCTCAGCCTGTGTTCTGTTATGTTTTTATATGTTCCTCAAATAAATCCCATTTTGAAAATGTAAATATCTTTTCAATAACTTTTTAAAATTATTTTTTCCAGAGTTATATTTTCAGGATTTTAATCTCTCAGTATTTCAACATTCAGGATTATAGTGTTTGGGATTATGGTGTTTGGGATTGTGATTGGCTCCCAGTAAAGCACAGGGCTAATTATCACAGGTGAGCAACAGAAATGTTCAAATACAGGTGTGAATCTTCTGAATATGAAATCAGTGGTGAAATTTCTACTCGCAGTAATAAGGAGACAGTTGTAGAGGAAGGGCACCACCAGAGTCGTGGGTGCATGCCTTCACCCCAGGTCAGGTTCTTGGAGGAGAGAGAGGAGTGTGTGGGTGGGAGCATGGGGATAGCGTCCAGCACTGCTGCCCCTTCCAGTACGGTAAGCACCAGGCTCAGGTGGCTGCTGCGTGCTTGCAGTGTGGCTCTCACAGATTGAGATGTGCTTAAAATACACACGGGATTTCAAAGACTTGGGTGAAAAAAGTAAAATATTTCAATATATTTGTATATGGATACATGTTGAAATAATAATGTTTTGATGTATTGGCTTAAATAAAACATAATTTAACATAATCTGTCTCATTTTACTTTTTAAAAATATTGCTTCTAGAACATTTATAATTCAATCTGTGGCTCCTGTTGTATTTTTTTTTTTTTTTTTTTGAGACAGGGTCTCACTCTGTCACCTGGGCTAGGATGCAGTGGCGCAATCATAGCTCTTTGTAGCCTTGACCTCCCACCTCAGCCCCCTGAGTAGCTGGGATTACAGGCCCGTGCCTTATGCCTGACTAGTTTTTGTATTTTTCACCATTCGCCAACCACCATTCACCATCTACAGTCACCTCTACTCATCATCTACCATTTACCACCCACCAGTCACCTCCACTCATTATCCACCATTCACTATCCACCATTCACCTCCATTAACCACCCACCATTTATTATTCACCTTCTGTCTATTCACCCTCCATCTCCATTCACCATCTACCTTTTTCTATTCTCCATCCACCATCCATCATTCACTATTCACTATTTACCATCCACCACCTGCTATTCACCAACCACATTCACTTCCATTCACCATTTTCCATTTATCATTGATATAATTTCCCTCCCTTGGTCCCTGCAACCTGCACAATGGTGCTTTCATTAAAATAAGGATGGGGAAGCCAAGGCTATGTACCAGAGGTGAGTGACCCACCTGATACAGAAGCAGAATAGGCGTTTTTTCTTTCTCTTTTTTCAGAGACTCCCTGTCTCTTCAACGTCAAATTTTACTGCAGAGACTTTGCCCCATGCTGTGACCTCCAGTGCCATGGTCTGCCGTCAGTGAAAAGTTATTGTCCCAAAGACAGTGCTTAATCCTGGGCCCCAACAACCTGGGGCATTTGGGAGATCTTAAGTATGCTTGAAACTCGGCATTCTTGGCTTACAAAGGTGGTTGGTTACTCATGCCCAGCGAAGTTAGGAAACACCCTTAACAACATTACAGCCACTTAGAAAATGAAGCAGAGGCCTTCAGTTGGAAAGGGAGTTTGAGCTCTCAGTTTTCCCCGCTCCTTCCTGAAACCCTATTGTGTAAACCTACAAGGGCAGGAGGACCAGGAAGAAACCATTGTTGAGACATACCAAAAATTTTCTTCAAGTCAGGATGCAGATGAAAGAGGGTGATAGTTGACCCCTCCAAATCTCACATTGAAATGTAATCCCCAGTGCTGGCGGTGGAGCTAGTGGGAGGTGTTTTGGTCGTGGGGGTGGATCCCTCATGAATGTCTTCGTATCATCCTCAAGGTAATAAGTGAGTTCTCATTCTAGCTCATGTGAGATCTGATTATTAAAACGAGCCTAGCATCTCTTTCCTCTCTCGCCATGTGATAGACTGACAGGCAGGAGCCTGTGGGGGAGAGGGTGAGGCTGTGCTGTGCAGAATAGAGGAGCAGGACCCCTGGGGCACCCATATTGCTAGCTTTGGGTGAAGAAAGCGTCCCTGAGCTGGAGCCATAGGCGGCTCAGGAAAAGAGGATTTTACTTCCATTGCAGGTGATTCCAAGGTGCCCAAGAAAAATTCAGAGGCCAAGGCTGGCAGCAGAGCTGGGGGAGAGGGGCCCATGGCATCTCTCAGGAAGGGCCTGCGCTGCAGGCACCCATCAGCCCCAGCTGCACGAAGGAGCTCCATCCACTAAGGGGACTCTGATATGTCCTCCCCCGGCCCCTGGCCAGAGGTCCAGGGAGCGGGGCTAGGAGGGAAGGCCTGGGCCCTACTACCCTCTGCCCAGGAGGAGGCTCATCTGTCCCAGGGTCACCCCAAACCTTTCCCTCCAGAGCAGGTTCCCCAAGGGAGGGAAATGCAGATTCCCAGGCAGCTGCTGCCAGGAACAGGGCCTTTCTTCTCTTGGTCCCCTCCTCGTGCCGCACAATCAGGGCTGGGTAAAGGAGATCAGTATGGATTTCCTTATGAAAGATGGTGGTCTGCCCAGGCGGTGTGAGGACCCAAGGAGGCCCACTCCAGTGGAGTGCTGAGGGGAGGGCCCTCTGGTTGGGTCAGGGTCTCTTTCAACAGGAGGGAGCAGAGAGGGACTCCAGTGGGGGTCAGGAACCCCTTGCTGGGTGACCTGGGACAAGTACCTTTTCCTCTGGGGCCCCTGCCCTCTGACTCTGTGAAAACAAAGCTTCCATGTCCTGGGTTTCAGCACTTTCTTTCTGTTTTACTCACTGCCCTGCGGGGCTTCTGGAAAGTTTGCCCTCACCAGACACATAGATGGATCACAGAGTTACACAATAATGATAATGATAAAGCATCGTTGGTCTATAAAAAAGACAAACCTATCAGTGAACCAGAGTGGATCCAGTAACAGCTCGTATACACACAGGAAATTTCTACATGGTCTGGGGCCAGAAGGACAAGGAGACTTACTTAACAAACAGTACTGAAAAGCTAGATCTACTTGTAACATATTGCAGATAGTTGTAGATAATTATGTACAAATTAATTTCAAGGCCAGGCGAGGTGGCTCACTTCTGTAATCCCAGCACTTTGGGAGGCCAAGGCAGACAGATTGCCTGAACCCAGGAGTTCGCGACAAGCCTAGGCAACATGGTGAAACCCTGTCTCTACAAAAAAATAGAAAAGTTAGCAGGGTGTGGTGGTGTGCACCTGTGGTCCCAGCTACTCTGGAGGGGGAGGTGGGAGGATCCCTTGAGCTGGGCGTTCAAGGCTGTGGTGAGCCATGATTGCGCCACTGCAGTCCAGCCTGGGTGACAGAGTGAGACCCTGTCTCAAAAATAAAAAAACAAAAAATTAAAGAACTAAAAGTAAAAATACATAAAAGCATTGGGAGAAATTATTGAATAACCTGTGTATAAAAAGACTAGGAAAGGCCCTCAAAAGCAACACATCCACACACCCACATAAAGAACTATAAAATATAGACAAAAAGATGGATATATTTTAATCTGTCATAATGTTAAAGCTTCTCAGCTGTACCAGACATTATAAGTAATGATAAAAACAGTCTGGGACAACATACCTGCAACATATCCAGCACAGGATTTGTACCCAAAATGTAGAAACCATATAGAAAGTGATAAGAAAACAATAATGTGTGAAGTTCACATGATCAGTATCAGGTGCAGACACAGAATCTTGGCTGCAGAGTCAAATGACCCAACTCAGCCACAGCGGAGGTGCCTATGAACCATTATGTGGGAAAAATAGCCAAAAATGGATGCTGTTCTCCATGTTGGAAAGGGGTGCTTTCTGTTGATGGAAATGTAAACTGATCATTTTGCTGTATCTATTTAAATTCTGACAAAGAGGCACATACACAGGCATGTCATTTCAAATTGTGGCAACCTATAATCTATCTGGGCAGGAACAATGTGACGATGGTTTAGTCACAGTCCTGAGTGCTGTATTTATTTATACACTGAGGTGCAGTTTCAAGGGGACACAGTGGCCATTTATTTACTGATGCAGAAATACCTCACACATATACAGCTAAGTGAGAAAAAACTTGTGGAGCAGGATTTGCAATGTGATACCATTTGTTTAAAAACAGTGCTGTATAAAAGAATCTGGCCTGAATTCTTAAAAAATGTCAGGTTATAAAACACCCCAAAAGGCTGTTCTACAAGAGGGGAGACACAAAACACTCGAGTTCTAAATGCAGTCCAGGAAGCCCCTGATTCTCTAATCAGGGTAGTTTATTCCATAGTAGCATAGTGTCACTGTGAACTCTCTGGATTTGGCAACTGGACTGTGGTTACGTCAGAGAATGTACTTGTTCTTGGGAAATATCCGCTAAAGTATCTGGGGGTTAAAGGCCATCCATCAGCCAGCCGCTACCTCTCAAGTGATTTAAGGGTGCTACCCCATGGCGGTTGATCATCTGTCTGCTGAGAGGCTTGGTTCTGCCCAACTTTGGCTCTTGCCTGTGGTCATCAGCCAACGGTGTCATCAGAAGAGACCTCAGAGCAGCTGCCAGCCCATGGTAGTGCAGGTGGCATGAAGCTACCGGGCATTTAACACATGAGCTCTCCATGAGCTAGGAGTCAGTTCAGGCGCCTCTCCCTGATATGGTTTGGATGTCTGTCCCCTCCAAATCTCATGTTGAAATGTGGCCTTCAATATTGGAGGTGGGCCTAGTGGGAGGTGTTTGGGGGTGGATCCCTCATGAATGGCTTGGTGCTGTCCTCACCATAATGAGTGAGCTCTCGCTTTATAAGTTCACAGGAGAACTGGTTAAGAGCCTGTTGCCTCCCCTCTCTCTCTTGCTCTCTCTTCCACCATGAGTGGAAGCTGCCTGAGCCCTCCCCAGAAGCAGATGCTGGTGCCATGCTTCTTGTACAGCCTGCAGAACCTTGAGCCAAATAAACCTCTTTTCTTTATAAATTACCCAGCCTCAGGCATCTCCTTATAATAATGCAAATGGACTAACACACTTCCCATCCCCAACTCACCCTTGGACCAAGGAGGAACCTATCCCAAGGCAGGTGCAATCTCAAGACCCCCCCTCTCCAGACGCCCCCTCCTCCACACACCGATGCTTGTTCATCCCTCTGAGCCCTGGGAAGAGGCCGTCTTGGTGAGCCTGGGCTGCTGGGCATGGGGTGACTGACACCCCTCAGAGTCATGCGCAGGAGTGGGAGAGAGGGCTCTGGGCAGCCAGGAAGCTCTTCCTGGAGAGAGTCACTGACAGCCCCAGGCCATTTAGGCTGAAACCAGAGCTGCCTGGAAGGTAGTAGGGCCCCAGAGCTTTCTCCCGGGTCAGTCACCCAAGCTTCCACATGAGAAACAGGGTTGGAATAATTTTCATACTCTAGAAAAGTAACAGGCTTGGGCGGTTCCATGATGGCCGAATAGGAACAGCTCCAGTCTACAGCAGTCTACAGCTCCCAGCGTGAGAGATGCAGAAGACAGGTGATTTCTGCATTTCCAGCTGAGGTACTGGGTTCATCTCACTGGGGATTGTCGGACAGTGGGTGCAGGACAGTGGGTGTAGCACACTGAGCATGAGCCGAAGCAGGACGAGGCATCGCCTCACCTGGGAAGCACAAGGGGACAGGGAATTCCTTTTCCTAGCCAAGGGGAGGGGTGACAAATGGCACCTGGAAAATCAAATCACTCCCACCCTAATACTGCACTTTTCCAATGGTCTTAGCAAATGGCACACCAGGAGATTATATCCCGCGCCTGGCTTGGAGGCTCCTACACCCACGGAGCCTCGCTCATTGCTAGCACAGCAGTCTGAGATAGAACTGTAATGTGGCAGCGAGGCGGGGGAGGGGCGCCGGCCACTGCTGAGGCTTGAGTAGGTAAACAAAGCTGCCAGGAAGCTCAAACTGGGTGGAGCCCACCACAGTTCAAGGAGGCCTGCCTGCCTCTGTAGATTCCACCTCTGGGGGCAGGGCATAGCCAAACAAAAGGCAGCAGAAACCTCTGCAGACTTAAATATCCCTGTCTGACAACTTGGAAGACAGTAGTGGTTCTCCCAACACGGAGCTTGAGATCTGAGAACAGACAGACTGCCTCCTCAAGTGGGTCCCTGACCCCCAAGTAGCCTAACTGGGAGGCACCCCCAAGTAGGGGCAGACTGACACCCCACACAGCCGGGTACCCCCTAAGATGAAACTTCCAGAGGAACGAACAGGCAGCACCATTTGCTGTTCACCAATATTCGCTGTTCTGCAGCCTCCGCTGCTGATACCCCGGCAAACAGGGTCTGAAGTGGACCTCCAGCAAACTCCAACAGACCTGCAGCTGAGGGTCCTGACTGTTAGAAGGAAAACTAACAGAAAGGACATCCACACCAAAACCCCATCTGTACGTCACCATCGTCAAAGACCAAAGGTAGATAAAACAACAAAGATGGGGAAAAAACAGAGCAGAAAAACTGAAAATTCTAAAAATCAGAGCGCCTCTCCTCCTCCAAAGGAACGCAGCTCCTCACCAGCAACGGAACAAAGCTGGATGGACAATGACTTTCACAAGTTGAGAGAGGAAGGCTCCAGACGATCAAACTTCTCTGAGCTAAAGGAGGAAGTTCGAACCCATAGCAAAGAAGTTACAAACCTTGAAAAAAGGTTAGACGAATGGCTAACTAGAATAACCAATGCAGAGAAGTCCTTAAAGGACCTGATGGAGCTGAAAACCATGGCACGAGAACTACGTGATGAATGCACAAGCTTCAGTAGCTGATTCGATCAACTGTAAGAAAGGGTATCAGTGATGACAGATCAAATGAATGAAATGAAGCAAGAAGACAAGTTTAGAGAAAAAAGAATAAAAAGAAACGAACGAAGGCTCCAAGAAATATGGGACTATGTGAAAAGACCAAATCTACGTCTGATTGGTGTACTCGAAAGTGATGGCGAGAATGGAAGCAAGTTGGAAAACACTCTGCAGGATATTATCCAGAAGAACTTTCCCAACCTAGCAAGGCAGGCCAACATTCAAATTCAGGAAATACAGAGAATGCCACAGAGATACTCCTCGAGAAGAGCAACTCCAAGACACATAATTGTCAGATTCATCAAAGTTGAAATGAAGGAAAAAATGTTAAGGGCAGCCAGAGAGAAAGCTCGGGTTACCCACAAAGGGAAGCCCATCAGACTAACAGCTGATCTCTCGACAGAAACTCTACAAGCCAGAAGAGAGTGGGGGCCAATATTCAGCATACTTAAAGAAAAGAATTTTCAACCCAGAATTTCATATCCAGCCAAACTAAGCTTCATAAGTAAAGAAGAAATAAAATACTTTACAGACAAGCAAATGCTGAGAGATTTTGTCACCACCAGGCCTGTCCTACAAGAGCTCCTGAAGGAAGCACTAAACATGGAAAGGAACAACCGTTACCAGCCACTGCAAAAACATGCCAAATTGTAAAGACCGTCGAGGCTAGGAAGAAACTGCACCAACTAATGAGCAAAATAACCAGCTAACATCATAATGACAGGATCTAATTCACACATAAGAGTATTAACCTTAAATGTAAATGGGCTAAATGCTCCAATTAAAAGACACAGACTGGCAAATTGGATAAAGAGTCAAGACCCATCAGTGTGCTGTATTCAGGAAACCCATCTCACGTGTAGAGACACACATAGGCTCAAAATAAAGGGATGGAGGAAGATCTACCAAGCAAATGGAAAACAAAAAAAGGCAGGGGTTGCAATCCTAGTCTCTGATAAAACGGACTTTAAACCAAGAAAGATCAAAAGTGACAAAGAAGGCCATTACATAATGGTAAAGTGATCAATTCAACAAGAAGAGCTAACTATCCTAAATATATATGCACCCAATACAGGAGGACCCAGATTCATAAAGCAAGTCCTTAGAGACCTACAAAGAGACTTAGACTCCCACACAGTAATAATGGGAGACTTTAACACCCCACAGTCAACATTAGGCAGATCAACGAGACAGACAATTAACAAGGATATCCAGGAACTGAACTCAGTTCTGCACCAAGCGGACCTAATAGACATCTACAGAACTTTCCACCCCAAATCAACAGAATATATACATTCTTCTCAGCACCACACTGCACTTATTCCAAAATTGACCACATAGTTGGAAGTAAAGCACTCCTTAGCAAAGGTAAAAGAACAGAAATTATAACAAACTGTCTCTCAGACCACAGTGCAATGAAACTAGAACTCAGGATTACGAAACTCACTCAAAACCGCTCAACTACATGGAAACTGAACAACCTGCTCCTGAATGACTACTGGGTACATAATGAAATGAAGGCAGAAATAAAGATGTTCTTTGAAACCAATGAGAACAAAGACACAACATACCAGAATCTCTGGGACACATTTAAACAGTGTGTAGAGGGAAATTTATAGCACTAAATGCCCACAAGAGAAAGCAGGAAAGATCTAAAATTGACACCCTAACATCACAATTAAAAGAACTAGAAAAGCAAGAGCAAACACATTCAAAAGCTAGCAGAAGGCAAGAAATAACTAAGATCAGAGCAGAACTGAAGGAGATAGAGACACAAAAAACCCTTCAAAAAATCAATGAATCCAGGAGCTGGTTTTTTGAAAGGATAAACAAAATTGATAGACCGCTAGCAAGACTAATAAAGAAGAAAAGAGAGAAGAATCAAATAGACGCAATAAAAAAATGATAAAGGGGATAGCACCACCGATCCCACAGAAATACAAACTACCATCAGAGAATACTATAAACACCTCTATGCAAATACACTAGAAAATCTAGAAGAAATGGATAAATTCCTCTACATACACCCTCCCAAGACTAAACCAGGAAGAAGCTGAATCTCTGAATAGACCAATAACAGGCTTTGAAATTGAGGGAATAATTAATAGCTTACCAACCAAAAAAAGTCCAGGACTAGACAGATTCATAGCCAAATTCTACCAGAGGTACAAGGAAGAGCTGGTACCATTCCTTCTGAAACTATTCCAATCAATAGAAAAAGAAGGAATCCTCCCTAACTCATTTTATGAGGCCAGCATCATCCTGATACCAAAGCCTGGCAGAAACACAACAAAAAAAGAGAATTTTAGACCAATATCCCTGATGAATATCGATGCAAAAATCCTCAATAAAATGCTGGCAAACCGAATCCAGCAACACATCAAAAATCTTATCCACCATGGTCAAGTGGGCTTCATCCCTGGGATGCAAGGCTGGTTCAACATATGCAAATCAATAAATGTAATCCAGCATATAAAGAGAACCAAACACAAAAACCACATGATTATCTCAATAGATGCAGAAAAGGCCTTTGACAAAATTCAACAACTCTTCATGCTAAAAACTCTCAATAAATTAGGTATTGATGGGACGTATCTCAAAATAATAAGAGCTATCTATGACAAACCCACAGCCAATATCATACTGAATGGGCAAAAACTGGAAGCATTCCCATTGAAAACTGGCACAAGACAGGGATGCCTTCTCTCACCACTCCTATTCAACATAGTGTTGGAAGTTCTGGCCAGGGCAATCAGGCAGGAGAAAGAAATAAAGGGTATTCAATTAGGAAAAGAGGAAGTCAGATTGTCCCTGTTGGCAGATGACATGATTGTATATCTAGAAAACCCCATCATCTCAGCCCAAAATCTCCTTAAGCTGATAAGCAACTTCAGCAAAGTCTCAGGATACAAAATCAATGTACAAAAATCACAAGCATTCTTATACACCAATAACAGACAAACAGAGAGCCAAATCATGAGTGAACTCCCATTCACAATTGCTTCAAAGAGAATAAAATACCTAGGAATCCAACTTACAAGGGACGTGAAGGACCTCTTCGAGGAGAACTACAAACCACTGCTCAAGGAAATGAAAAAGGATACAAACAAATGGAAGAACATTCCATGCTCATGGATAGGAAGAATCAATATTGTGAAAATGGCCATACTGCCCAAGGTAATTTATAGATTCAATGCCATCCCCATCAAGCTACCAATGACTTTCTTCACAGAATTGGAAAAAAACTACTTCAAAGTTCATATGGAACCAAAAAAGAGCCCGCATTGCCAAATCAATCCTAAGGCAAAAGAACAAAGCTGGAGGCATCACGCTACCTGACTTCAATCTATACTACAAGGCTACAGTAACCAAAACAGCATGGTACTGGTACCAAAACAGAGGTATAGACCAATGGAACAGAACAGAGCCCTCAGAAATAATACCACACATCTACGACCATCTAATCTTTGATAAACCTGACAAAAACAAGAAATGGGGAAAGGATTCCCTATTTAACAAACGGTGCTGGGAAAACTGGCTAGCCATATGTAGAAAGCTGATACTGGATCCCTTCCTTACACCTTATACAAAAATTACTTCAAGATGGATTAAAGACTTAAATGTTAGACCTAAAACCATAAAAACCCTAGAAGAAAATCTAGTCAATACCATTCAGGACATAGGCATGGGCAAAGACTTCATGTCTAAAACACCAAAAGCAGTGGCAACAAAAGCCAAAATTGACAAATGGGATCTAATTAAACTAAAGGGCTTCTGCACAGCAAAAGAAACTATCATCAGAGTGAACAGGCAACCTACAGAATGGGAGAAAATTTTTGCAATCTACTCATCTGACAAAGGGCTAATACCCAGAATCTACAAAGAACTCAAACAAATTTACAAGAAAAAAACACACAACCCCATCAACAAGTGGGCAAAGGATATGAACAGGGATTTCTCAAAAGAAGACATTTATGCAGCCAACAGGCACATGAAAAAATGCTCATCATCACTGGCCGTCAGAGAAATGCAAATCAAAACCACAACGAGATACCATCTCACACCAGTTAGAATGGCGATGATTAAAAAGTCAGGAAACAACAGGTGCTGGAGAGGATGTGGAGAAATAGGAACACTTTTGCTCTGTTGGTGGGACTGTAAACTGGTTCAACCATTGTGGAAGACAGTGTGGTGATTCCTCAAGTATCTAGAACTAGAAATACCATTTGACCCAGCCATCCCATTACTGGGTATATACCCAAAGGATTATAAAACATGCTGCTATAAAGACGCATGCACATGTATGTTTATTGTGGCACTATTCACAATAGCAAAGACTTGGAACCAACCCAAATGTCCAACAGTGATAGACTGGATTAAGAAAATATGGCACATATACACCATGGAATACTATGCAGCCATAAAAAATGATGAGTTCATGTCCTTTGTAGGGACATGGGTGAAGCTGGAAACCATCATTCTCAGCAAACTATCACAAGGACAAAAAACCAAACACCGCATGTTCCACTCATAGGTGGGAATTGAACAATGAGAACACTTGGACACAGGAAGGGGGACAGCACACACCGGGGCCTGTTGTGGGGTGGAGGGAGAGGGGAGGGATAGCATTAGGAGATATACCTAATGTAAATGATGAGTTAATGGGTGCATCACACCAATATGGCACATGTATACATATGCAACAAACCTGCACTTTGTGCACATGTACCCTAGAACTTAAAGTATAATAAAAAAATAAATAAATAAATAAAAAATAAAAACAAGTATATTTACAATAAAAAAAAAAAAAGAAAAGTAACAGGCTTGCCCCCAGGAAGAAAACTCTGCACCTGTGGCTTCTCTTATTTTACCTTGTAGCTTTTCAATTTGAATCCCATATGGGGAGAGCGGCAGGGGCTCCATTTTTGGTTCAAACTTTAGGCCTTCCAAAGTCGTGCTGTGCCGAAGGTAGCTGTTGTGAGGCGCTCCCAGGATCCACCGTCATCCCTGGATATTTCCCACTGACCTTGGGCGACCTTGGGTGACTTCAGGCAACAGTGAGGGGTGCAGCCCGTGGCAGTCACTGACACACCTCAGCCAGCACCAAGCCTCCCACAGAGCCGGTAAGTGGAGTGATCTTGATCCCTGATCTTCCCCACAGCCCTTGGCAGGAATGTTGTTATTCCTGTTTGTAGATGACAAAGCTGAGTTCAAACAGCATGCCTGGGTTTGCACACATCCCCGGCAGGGGCAGAACGGGAAGTTAGGTCTCTGTCACTCCAAGCCCAGTTCTTTTTACTGAACAGAGTTAGTGCAACACCCACAGCATTGCTCCCATACTTCCCCTGAAAGATTCTCAGACTTCTGGCTTTAAAAATGTTGGGGTCCAACCAGATTGACCAGTCTTTTTTAAGCCTAGTCAGGAATTTGAAAAAACTATGAGGTGGGCAGAGCTGGGTTTTGTCCAGCAGTGGTTGTTGTGAGCTGGGTAGGCTCACACCCTCATTTGATTTATTACTCATTGCAGTCCTGCGCATGAAGTGTTCATCCCTGACTGCAAATGGAGAAACTGAGGCAGGGCAAAGCAACGTAATTTGCCCTCAGCTATGGGTGCTGAGGCAGGGCAGAAGCCCGGGCTTGTGGCCTGCAGTCTGGGCTGAGGAATGCCCCTGGGGCCCACATTCTGCCCTGGGAGGGATCTATATTGGGGATCCACTCTTGCCCCCATGAGGGCATGAGAAGCAGATGAGAATTCTGTAAGGGCCTTTGGAGCCCCCAAACCCTGAAGCGGTAAAATGCCCTTCCCTACAATTCACTTCCAAATACAAACAATACCAAATGCAAGCACAGGAGGGCCCTAGAAGCACAGATTTTCCTCCCATGCACTTCTGGAGTTGAGATTTTTTTCTTTAGGTATCTAGTGTGAAATCATTAAAGTAGTTAATATTTGGTGCCTGTGCTTTGCTGGTGCTCCACTTACAACCTCAGAGTGTCCTCCGGGTACCCTCTATGGGGGTTTCAGGAGCTCTTTGCAGATGGGGAAACTGAGGCCCAAACACAAGTATGGTCCTGGGCACAGAGGGTACCCACTCTGTCCCCTCAGGAGGCCTCCTTTCCAGGGAGGGTGGGGCCAGACCTACCCAGCCCTTGGTCACCACCCCCACCCCCAGGGCGGGAGCCGTTGCCCTGCAGTTGCTGCCTGTGGCGAGCTGGGCCAGCCTGGTCCTCTGCTCCTGGGCCTGGGGGCACTGGTGGCCAGGTACGAGGCCGAGAAGGAGAAGCAGCTGGTGTTGGAGATGGAACACCTGTTGCCCTGGAGGGGCACGCCCATGTGTTCCCCCACCCACACTTGGCTGCATGCGGGACCCCTTCCAGAAGGGTGCCGACTCCAGCGGGGTCACCAAGGACCAACGCTGCCACAGGCAACACGTGTGGTGCCTCCAGGGGGAGAGGGTGCTGGGCTGCCTGGTGGGTGGGGGGGAGATGGAGGGTGGGTCTGGAGGTGGGGGCGTGTCGGGGAGGGGAGAGGGAAACAGACTGGGAGAAGGGGAGCAGGAGTGAGGCCCCCTTACTGGAGGGCAGGAGCGCCACCCCGGACCTAACGCTTTTGTTCCTCGGACCCAGCCTCCCCGGCCTTACCCTTATTCCCAACCCCGCCCAAGGGCGAGTGCTAGGGGCCGCGGGCTCCTAACAGCACCGACAGCCGCCCTTTTCCTCCAGGGTCTCCCCTGGGCCAAGCTGGAGAAGGTTCTGACAGCCAAGCTCAGCTCCACATGTTCAAGCTCTGGCATCCGCAGGAGACTACTTCCTGAGACAAAGCCTAGCATTAGCACAGGTGAGAGGCCTGTGGTGTGGTGCGGTGCCGGGAGGCAGTCTGCGAGTCCACGCTGGAGGGAGCGCTCCTGGGGAGGACAGCCGGCTTTGACCCGTCCAGATGCATTTCCCCTGGGCTCCCTGCAAGCCAGTTTCCTGGCCTCAAGCCTGGCCTGGGGGTGGCCTGTGGGGGAGAAGCCACGAGGGCAGCAGCTCTGGCTCCAGGGCTGTTTCTGAAGGAGCCGGGGTGGGCGTCCCAGCAGCCAGCATGCAGGTGGCACAGGGTGGGTGCTCTGTGTTTCCGGGTGATCTAGCAAGCCCCAACTCCTTTCCTCTCCCTGTTCCCCTCACTCCTTTACTGCTTGTTTCTTGTTTATTTCTAAGGGTAAGTCAGGTAAGGGCTCTGTTCTCAAAGGCCCTGATCTGGGGAGACAAGGTGGAGAGACAGGCTCTCCAGGAGCCATGGAGAGGCAGGGAGAATGCCCGTTTTGGGGAGGGTCTTAAGGGACAGAGCTGGATGCCTAGGAGGCAGGTATCCGAAACGGCACTACACTCACTCTTCCACACTCATCAGTGGGGCAACACTGGAGGCCAGCGTTGTCCCCAGAAACGCTCCTGTCGTCTGAGCTGGCCTTGAGAGCTGCACAGACTTTGCTAGGCCCAGGAGGGACTCTAGGAGGAAGAGAGCATGGGCAAGGAGGGCACTGCTGGAATGAGTGATGAGCCAGGGCTCATCACAGAAGGCCAGGAATGGGAACAAGGCAGTTGGATTTTATTCCACAGGCAACAAGGTAACATAACCCATGGGAACTACAAAAAGTCCAAAGGAGAGGCAAGTAAGACACCCATGATCGCACCACTCAGGAGCGACTGTAATTAACATCTAGATCTATTTCCTTCCAGTCTTTTTTCTTATAGTTTTTCATGGTAGATTATAGTTTATCTATCTGTATATTTTCATTTGATGTCTTAATCCAATCATTTTCCCCTTTGAAGAGTTCTTCGGATCACATAATATTGTATCAAGTGGGTGTATCCTAATTTACTTAACATCAATTTCCCAGCTTCTTCTGTTATAAATAACCCCTCTGGACATTTCCATGCATGAAATCTTTCTCCCCTCTCATTTTACATCAGTTTCTTGCAAGACTTCCCAGGTCAGAGGCCGTTCACCTTCCACCTCCCTGCTTGCATGACAGCAAGCTTTTCTTGCACCTGTGTCTTATTTCTCAAGGGCACGATGTGTAGCTTTTCTTCTTCTCTTTTGGGAGTGAGGGCTATGCTCATGGCAGGAGTGCTGTGTCCCCAGGTAAAATCCACAAATTCCTTGGATCTACCCCAGAGTCAGAAGGAGGGAGCCTCCTCTTGGCCAGAAGCATGCCTCTGGCCTCCCAAAGCTGGCTAACTTTTGATGTCACCCAGATGTAAGACAGTGAGGGTCTGGACCTTCTGGACTAGAGGGGTCCAGGGGTGAGGGGAGCAGTGTCATGGAGCACCCAGGACCTACCAGACACCACTCCTGGTGCTTCTGTATGCCTCATTTCAGAGGAGTCTCCTCCAGCCTATCTGGCTCATTTACAGGTGTGGGGAGATCACGGTTGGGAGGACTCCCAGATACCTCACACACAGGTGCTGGGGGGCTGGGAGCTGTCAGCCACATCCCTTTGTCACTCTTTTGGTGGTGCCCAAAGCAGAGCATCTGGATCAGCACACGGTCAAATACCTTTCACTTTAAAGATGTTTCTATTTAGAAATAACTTCAAACTTACGGAAAAGCTATGAGAGTGGCAGATAACTCCCATGAGCTTTTGATCCAAATTCACCAACTGTTTATGTTTTTGTTCCATTTATTTTACCATTTGTATTCTCTCCCCTCTCCCTTCCCCTTCTTTCCTCATCTCTCCTCTCCTCTCTTTCTCCCTCTCCTCCCCTTCTCCTCTTCTGTCTTTCTTCTCCTCTCCTCTCTCTCTCTCCAGACACATATACATGCACGCATGCATACACAAGTACACATTTTTTTTTCCCCAAACGTTTGAGAGTAAGTTGCAGGTATCATGCCCCTTTGCGCCTAAATATTTCAATGTTTTTCCAAGGCACAAGGGCGATCTCTTAGAGAATCGCAGTACAGTTATCAAAACCAGGAAACTTCACATTGACACAACACTGATCCACATTCACACTTTGCCAGCTCTTCCCACACTGTCCTTAGCAGCTCTCCTGCCTGCCTGTCCAGGCTCCCATGCTGCATTCGGTCATCTACCCCTTTAGTCTCCTGCAGCTGGGATAGTCCCCCGCCCTTCCTCAGCCTTCATGACATTCACAATTTGGAGTTCACAGAATGTCTCTTGGTTTGGGTCTGCCTGATGTTTCCTCATGCTCTGGGTGAAGCATCTGTAGCTGATCACATCAGGAGGGGCACATCTGTCCCGAAATCCCTGGGTAGGGTGGTCGACTCCAGGCCCTGCGAATGTAAGCTAATTTTAACGCCTTTGAGCTCAGTAAGTAATTTGTGGGGACATCTTTCTGAGATTATGCAAGTATCCTATTCCTCATCCAACTTTTGCCCAGTGTTTTAACCTCATTGATGAGTTTTGCCTGAATGCATTATTACTATGAGGGCTGCCAAAGGATTTTCTGACTCTGTCACTCCTACATTTATTATCGGCATTTACTGGAAGGAAGAGCTGCTCCTCCTTATTTATTTCCATCAGAATGGACTCATGGAATTTTGTTTTATTCACTAGATTATAATCCATTAGCCTCATCATTTATTTTGATGCTCAAATATTCCTAGTCTTGGCCAGGAGCTGCTGTGAGATAGTGCTGGTGGCCTTTTGACAGGCTCCCATTGCCTTTGGCCATGTCCTCACCTCCTGGCACAGCTCCTTGTGTACATTCCGTATCCTGGCTGGAATCAGACCTCCTTCTGAGAAGTCCTGTCCTTCCCTCCCTTCCTCCCTCCTCCCGATTTTAAACTCTTCATTCTGAAATAATTTCAAACTTATGTAACATTTGCAAGCCTGGCCCCTGTTGCAGTGGGGAATATTATTTAGAAGCCAGTGAGCCCTTTTTGTGCACGTTGCTATTGGAGTATCATTTGTACGATGTGTTTATTTTATATTGATCCTTGTGTGCATAAGAATACTGAGTTTATCATAGTGCTACCAAGTGTCCATTTAAATTACACTTTTGGTTACCAAAGTGAGGCAATTGACAGAAAAATGTGAAGTCAATAGTAGATCTTAGATACAAAGATGGAATGTGGCTGAAATTAGAGAATATGAATGAGTAAAATCAAGAAAACCTGGGCCACATCGTGCTGGACTTGGGTCTGAACACCAATGGGCCCTTTGGCATCCTCACAAACCACTGAATGCCCAACCTTGTGAATATTGCCTTGGGCTATGAGAAGTAGCTCATCCATGCCAAGGCATATGAGTTTAATACTCTCAGCAAGCCTGTGAGGTTTACCAGTATTACTGCTATTATACAGATGGGGAAACCGAGGCACAAAATGCCAATCAATGAGGCGGGGCACCTTGGTGCTCTAGGAACTCAAATCTATAATGGCAATCAGGGACATTGTTCTCTGGGTTCCTACTTTGGGGTATGGGATGTCAGACTGCACAAAATTGAAGATTTTTTCTATTGCTAATATTCAAAGATAAAATGTTTATTGGGGTTGTCTTTCCATTGCAAATGTGCACTGGCTTGGAAGCAATGACTTGCTCATTCAGTTTGTCTGAAAGGGAATTTGTGGGTACGGTCATGTGTTGATTAATGATGGGGATACATTCTGAGAAATGCATCATTAGGTGATTTTGTTGTTGTGTGAACATCATAGAGTGTACTTACACAGACCTAGATGATATAGCCTACTACACACCCAGGCTACACACTTGTACAGGCTTTTACTGTCCTGAGTAGAGCAGGTGATTGTAACACAATGGTAAATATCTGTGTCTCTAACCGTATCTAAACATAGAAGAGGTGCAGTAAAAATATGGTATTAGGCTGGGCTCAGTGTCTTATGCCCTGTAAGCCCAGCACCGTGGGAGGCTGAGGCAGGTGGATGGCTTGAACCCAGGAGTTTGAGATTAGCTTGGCAACACAGCAAGACCCCGTCTCTACCAAAAAAAAAAAAAAAAAAAAAGATGAGCTAGATGTAGTGTTGCACACCTGTAGTCCTAGCTACTTGGGAGGCTAGGTGGGAGAATCACTTGAGGCCTAAGCTGGGGTCAATTTGGTTCCTCTCATGTGGAGCTGAATCAATTGTCATTTATACCAAGTCATATGAATTTAATGTTCTCAGCAGGCCTAGGAGATTTATACCATTATTATTACTATTATACAGCTAGGAAAACGAAGGCACAAAAAGGCCACTCAGCTGGTAAGAGCCTGAGCCAGAGTTTGAATCCAGGCAGTGTGGCTGCAGGCATCCTGTTTAGCTCCCATCCATTTGGCACCTGGTGCAGAGTTAACACGGGGAAGCACACAGCTCAGTGCCTGGCTCCTGGTTGTGTTACTCGTGGCCACGAGGTAAGGAAAAGGTAGGACCACCTGGAAGGCAGAAGTGGTTCTTGGTTGGCCAGTAAAGCTTTGCCTGTGAGGCCAGAAGTGGTGTGCAAGGGCTGGGGCACAGGCAAAGGGAGCTGGGGTGCAGGGCAGGGTCAAATGGGGATGGTCATACTGAGCCCCCTCTGATGCTCTCCACTGCTCTGCAGCTGCCCTTGGGGCTGTAGCGTCTGCCCCAGTGTCTGGCTGCCCCAGACATCACCGCCAGCCAGCCCAGGTGGCTGAGGAGTGTGAGACACAAAGTGGACTTCCAGGACATTGGCTGAGTCTTCCCACCACCCATCAAGCTACCGAATCAATTACTGCAAGGGTTGGTGTGTCTTCCCAGTGGGCCACAAGACCAATGCCTCCCATCACACCTCCTTCATGTCCTTCTTCTCTCACTTCAAGGTGAACCCTGACATCTCCAACCCCGCTTATGTCCCCAACAAGCTCAACTCCACCAGACTCCTTTACTTGGACTCACAGAAGATGGTCTTGCTGAGGGAGTATGCAAACAGAGCGCTGGAGAGTGTGGCTGTGGGGAGGGTCCCGCCCTGGCATGAGCTTCTCTTGACTTTTCATGACTGCTGAGTAGGGTGAGCAGTGGGAATGGTGTGGGAAGAAATGATATCCACTTGGGAACTCAGAGCACTAGATCTCATTTAATGATGACATTGAAGTCCCTGTATGATCTTGGGTGAGGCATAGACTCTCCCTAAGCCTCGGTTTATCCATCCTGGGAATGGTGCTGGCTGAGGGGAGGTATGGGGGCCAGCTTAGGGGGGACTATTGCCTCCTGTGTTATTCTATTCCATAAAACATACAGCTGGGTTCCCCAGGGCAACACTGGCCCAGCACAGAGACAGCCGTTGGTATTTATTGAATGAATAACGAACGGATCAGAGGCTTCTCTTGTCATTCTTTTTCTTTTTAACTCTTTTTTTCCACTTAAAGCCCAGTGTGATCATATTTAGCTATTTCTCTCACAAGGCGATGTCCTGTTTTTTTAAAGCAGGAGGAAGAGTTTTATAGCTTTCTTGCCTTCCCCCACCTCCTTCCCAGCTTAGGTCCAGAAGTCCTGGTTTGCGGGCAGAACCTAAACTCTCCTGGCTGGCTGACTGGGAGATGGTGGAATTGGTCAGCTTTAGCAGGTGATCAGCAGTGGAATTTATAAAGCTTAGGGAAGCAGGTCACTGGCAGAGCTGAGACCCTGCACAGCTGGTGGCCAGTGGCACCTGTGTTTCTGTACCACTGGGACAGAGTGGTGGAGAGAAAAACCTTTTTGATCTTCACTCTTCTTGACCACCCTCCTGGAGCCCAAGTGAGACCATTTGAGATCTAATGAAATCAGAACAAGAGCCCTGCCGTGCCAGTAAGCTACCACTCTCAATCAGGTAGTGGAAAGAGAACAACTTCCTCTGTTGTCCATTGTGGATGTGTGGTATTGCTTAGATTAAAGTGAAGCAAACCCATCCATCCATCCTTCCATCCATCCATCCATCCTTCCATCTATCCATCCATCCATCCATCCGTCCATTCATCCATCCATCCAAATTATGGAGAAGACATTGAAGATGATGTTTATAGCAAGATGTTCAACAACACTGTTTGATTCAAAAAGCTGGTCACAGAAGTCTTCACAATATGATCCTATTTTTGTTTACAACTATTTGTATAGAAAAAACACCAGGCAGAAATTCATTACAGTCAACACTGGAAAGCTTTTCTCTCATTAGTGAGATCATGTGTGGTTTTTATTCTCTTCTTATTTAGCTATGTTTTCTACATTTTCTTCAGTGAAGATATATAATTTTATTTAAAAGAAAAAACGTAACTGATTTAAAAAGAGAGCAGATGTGTTCTGTGTGTTCTTTGGATCTGACTGGGAGACAGGGGTGTCTGTGGGGGAAGGTGGGGACAGCCAGGCAGGGGCATCTTCAGGCTTCATTTGCCAGGTCCTGGTGGGCTCCTGCCTGGCATGAATGAGGTTCTGGTGACCTCTGAGGCTTCTCCTAACTCAGGGTTCCTAGATCAACCTAAGGTGCCATTCAAGGACAGTCTCTCGGTGCCCTGCAGACCTGGGGTGCGGGGAGGTGAAGACAGTCCCATCCCAGCCCTCTGTGAACCGAGGATATGTTCAAAGTCCTGCATTTGAACCTGGCTCTGTCCCTGGCCACCCAGCTGTGTGACCTTAGGAAAATTCCCTCACCTCTGTGAGTGGCAGGCTTCTTATCTGCAAAGAATGGGAAATACCACGTCTCTTAAAGGGCTTATGGGGGAATAAATGGCACAGTAAGCAAATAGAAAGCAAGAGACACTCATCTCTAGTGAGGAGATGAGACAAACACTAGTTCACATAAAAGCCAGCCAAGAAGATGGTGTGGGGCTGGGCTGGGAGCACCCGGGAGCTGGTTTTGCCAGCACTCCTCTGCAGTGCCCAGGCCTGGCAGTGCCCAGGCTGGGCAGAGTGCCCAGGCCTGGTGTTAGGAACATGTCTGCTACTTAATAAAGATAAGGGGGAGGTAACAGGACCGCAGGAATGAATCTATAAAAGCACAGGCTGCTGGCAGCAGCAAAATGGGAATAAACTCCTTAGTGCACCTGCAGAGCCCTCTGTCCCATCACTACGCAGGTGCCCCCACAGCAGGACAACCCTGGGAATGCCTGGGACCCTCTGGCCTGGCAACAGTTTGTTGATTGAATAGATAGAAGCACATACAAGACCCACTTTCTCCCAATAACCCCAGGACCATAATTAGGAGCCAGATAAGCCCGCTACTTGCCTCAGCTCCCCTCTGGTTTTTTGTGTGCCCGGGGCCGGCCCCAGGCTGAGCCAAGGAATCCCAGAGAGGGGCATCTGCCACTTCCTCCTGGGGCTGTCTGGGCTCTCTAGGGTCAAGGACAGTGAGTAAGGAGCCCGATGTGGGTCTGCAGAGCCCAGCTTCACCTGCAGCAGTCTCAAAGGTCCTCCCACCTCCTCTGCTGCTGACACAGCCTCCCCCAATCCTGCCATCTAGTGCTCCTTTGATGATGGTGAATTCTGAAAGGAGCCCCACCTGCAGACCTGGGGAGGGCCACAGGGTTTAGAAGACTTTCTGAGAAAACACACCGGTGAAGTCCAGCTGTCCTGCTGGACGCGCTCCTGGACTGTGTGGCTTTCTTGCAGATTTCTTTCCCCTTTCTTCCCTCTTTGGTGTCCCAGGTTGTTTTGTCCTCCCCTAATCCCTTCCTAAGTAGAAACAAAGACTCAAAAAGCCAGGAGCCTGAATGCAAGATGGGAATAAAGAGGTTGAAGAGCCAGGGATGCAGGAGGGCAGGAAGGAGGAAGGCCCTTGGGGGGAAGATGGGTGAGACAGGCCCTGCTGGGGTTGGCAAGGAGAGGGTCTCTCTTCTTGGGTAGCCAGAGAATCAGTGCCGGGTGCTACCTCACCCAACTGGTGGAGCTCTGATGTTCCTGCCGCAAGGACTTTCTGGGGGAATGGGGCCTTGGGGGCTGTCTCCCACCCTCACCAAGACTAAAAGGGCCGAGGCAGTTGAGACTGTCATGTGAGTGGACACACAACCACTGCCACACAAGAAATTGGGAAAAACATCTGTGTCACAGATGACAAATGGAAGATGAAAGCCTTATGACATTAAAAGCTCTCACAAGCTATGAACCTTTCAAAAAGAAAACAGGCGGAGAAGAGGAAGTCCCCCCACCTTGGCCCGGCACAAACAACTTAAAAAAATACAATATAGTCAATATATGTATGATAAACTGTTTTAGCCTGTAAAAATGGAAAAAAGAAAAAACCCTGAGATAAAACAAAATGCCTTTTTGTGTGGCTTGTCAAATCCAGGCACCTGGCATGTGGAGAAATTCCACCATCCCCGAGGTCCTCGGGTTTTAGATTGCTCTCCAGGAGGGCAGACATCCTGCCCTGGTGGCGGGCTCAGAGCCAAAGGCAAGGCCGATAAATAAGTGATGGGATTTCTGGGCACAGAGAGGCAGCTGGGATTACGGTAAATGAAACCTGAACATCGAGGCTCCCACTCACCACTGGACCTGCACAGGTGGATACTCCAAATGATCTCCTTTTGTGCACCCTCACTATAGTTTCATTATGGTCCATTAAACAGCAATAATTAAAACAAAATATATTGGATTTGTTTATCCTGGACTTTGCAAGGAAATGAGATTTGCAACGGTGTTGGTGCACAGTTGAGGACTACAGGACTTGTAATTAGCAGGGTAATTAAGGAGGTGTCGCCTTTTTACTGCAACGGTGAACTTCTCAGGGATAATGAACTCTCCTGGTGGAGGGGAGTCCGGCTGGGGGTAGCCATGGGGACCAGGGGCTGCCTATTGCTGGTCCAGCCAGTAGGGGAGCTGGGGCTCATTTACGTAACAAAATGCTGCATGCCAGGTGCTGTTCTAGAAGCCAGGGTGCACCGTGGAGCTTGCATGAGAGCACTGAGACAGACACCAAGCATGTGCCAATAAAGCATTTGAGAAGGACTTAACAGCTAAGCAGGAAACCAAAGCAAGAATAAAGGTGGAGAGTAGTGGGGACGAGAATTGGGCTTCTTTCGTCTCGGAAGTCTTCTCTTGAAGAGAAGACTTTAAGCCGAGATTAGGATGAAGTGAGGGCCAGAGTCTTGAAGGCCACCCAGGGGCAGCTTTCCAGACAGTGGGAAGGGCAAGGACTGGTGGGAAGGTGGGTGATGGTGTCTGGCCAGGCTGGAGTGGGAACGGGGTACAGGAATGGGTTTTCTCCCCGACTGCCCCCGGTGTGATGCAGAGTGTGAGGACACCCCAGTGACCTCTTGCTCTCTACCCCCTGACACAGAAGGCAGACCTTGTCCCCACTAATTTATTCAATAAAGGCCCTCTCTCCAGGCTGTGTACCTCAGGTGGAGCTAGAGGCAGAGGCACCTGGGAGGACATATTCTTGAGTTGGAGTTGTGAGGTCCAGGGCACATCTCCAGCTTCACCTGTGGTGCCCACCTAAAGGAGAAGGGGTGCCCAGCTACTGTGGGGCTAGGGAGGTAGAATGAACTCCATCATCTGTCCCTTCATCCATCCATTTTTTCATTCCTCCTTCCTCCTTCCATCCACCCACCTATCCATCCATTCTCCACCCAGCAGGCATTTGCAATTTCTGATACCCCAGGCTGTTCCAGGGCCTTAGTAGGAGCAGGAACACCCAGATTGGCCCTGGCTCCTGCCATCCACATGAAGCTCTCTCCAGCGGAAAAGGAGCTACTCCGTCTGCAGTTTGGTGCCACCTGGTGGCAGCTGTTGGCTCTGGCTGAAATCAGTGAGGATGATTCTGGGCTGGGTGGCTCTGTGCAACTTCAGGACAGCAGCAGCTGTTTCAGAAAGTACCAAGTAGGTTAATGCCTCTTCTCAGCCCAGTCTGAGGAAGTTGAGCTGGGAGAATGTTGGGGATGCAGAGACCCCTCCCTGCCCCCACTTCCCTTTTCCCACGATTGGTGGCAGGCTACCTGGCTTCCCACTGTTTCCCCTGTGCTCCCTCGGAGGCAGTGGTTACTACTCTGAATTTACATTTTTATGGAGTTTATAGTTCTGTCCAGTGACCCAGAAAGTATGGCCACTGAGGAGTCTCTCTGTAGGGCTGTAGGCAGAGAGCCCCATCTGCTGCTGACAGCCCTCTGAGACCGTGGGAGGAGCCAAGCGGGTTCAGGGGAGGCTCTGAGGACCACCATATGCCACATGCTAGATGACCCTGCCTGGGAGAAACAGCCAGCAGCCTTGACCTTGACTCCTTTACTATCTGAACTTGTGAGTATCTTTTTTCCTGGCCACGGAAAACAGACCCCTGACCTCATGACTGATTGTCCTAGGACCTGCCTCTACAGGCTTCCAGCTCCACCCCAGAGACCTTTAGCTTTGGGCTACCTGCTTATGACCTCTTCCCCCAGCCAGCCTCTTTACTGAAGCATCTATCTGGAGGCTCAGGGCTTTCCTACAGACCTCTGTCCCTGGCCTGGGTCCTCACATAAGTGTCCAACATCCCAGGCCGTCCCTGAGACCCTGCCTGGCTCTAACTTTGCCACCACTGACTAGAGTGGCTGACTCAGAGGCCTCTGGGATTTGCATGATGGATGTAGTTTTCCACATGGAGCTGTGCTCGTGGGTGTCTCACCACCCAAGAGGATGGGCCACTTGGTTAAGGAGGGGGAGCTGAAGGTTGCTCAAGGTGGAAGTGAAGATGAAGAGAAAAATACTTGCATGCCAATGGTCACTGATGGGCTTTCACAGAAATAGGAAGGACTGTGAGTAATTTGAGGCATCTGCAATATGCTTATTCTTTGATCAGATCATGTATCTACTGAAAATTTATTTTAAGAAAATAACAAAAATTAGCCCAGCAAATTTTTGTATTTTTTGTACAGATGGGGTTTTGCCATGTTGTCCAGGCTTGTCTGGAACTCCTGGGCCTGCCTCAGCCTCCCAAAGTGCTGGGACTACAGGCATGAGCCACCTCCCACTGCTAGTTTTAATTTTTTGTCTTATGTCCTTCGTTAAAATTTTTTTAAACATTTAATTCATTGATTGATTGATTTTCCTTTAGACAACTTTTTCTGAAGAGCATAATAAAAGGAAAGTCAGCCATAAACAAAGCACTTAAAAAATACATTCAGGGATTATAAGTTCAGCTGCCTTCAGACAAGAGACAGAAAGTATCCTTGTGTGAGGGGTGAGATATTCCAAGGGACCAGAACCTCCGCCAGATGCATTCCGTGCAATTGTTTTCACATTTTAGAAAATACAAAACGACTCTAATACTGACACTGGCCAAACAACTCAATGCTCCCACTGGCTGGACAGCCAGAAGGTAACCTTTGCCTAAAGTAAGAAATGAGGGTCCCCTTCCCTTCACCCCTTCTGCATTCCTACCCCCCAACTCCAAACACAATTTCCTGGTTAAAGGGGCGAGGACATGAGAGCCAAGGCAGGTGCTCCTGGGAGAGCCATTGCAGGGAATGGGGAGTAGGCATTACTTGGACACAGCAGAGTTTAGCATAGATGTTGCCAGACAGAGTCTGGACCTGGGTGGGGACAGGCAGGAGGAGAAGGAAAAGGGGGAAGAGGGACAGAAGGGAGGGGAGAGGGAAAGGGGTGAGGAGAGAGGGAGAGGGAGTGGGAGGGAAGGGAAAGAGGAAGGGAAGGAGGGAGTGGAGGGGAGAGTAGGGAGAGAGGGTGGGAAAAAGGGAAGAGGAGGAGGAGAGAGAAAAGGAGGAAGGAGAGAGAGGGAGAGAGAGAAAGACGGGGGGCATTTCAGGAGTGAGGACAGATATGCAGATGTGGAAGGGCTGCCCCCCTCCTCTGTTTTCTGAAAGGCTGTCACAGTTGCTAACCACCACCATCAGCTGTGGAGAATGTTACCATTTCACACAGTAGTTCTTCCATGATGGGAATCCTTTTGGCTTTGCAGATGGGAAAAATGATGCTCAAAAAGCTAAGACAACCAAAGAGCTGGAAAGCAGCAATAAGGATTTGGGACATGAAGCCCCATATCCATTCTATGACTTCAGCTGCAGAGTGGTGGGAGAGTAGCCATTGGGATGGTTTGTGGGTGCAGTCAAGAGAAGCAGGCTAGGGAGAAGTGCCTTCCCACTGCTGCAGCCTTTCCTGTAAGACTGGAGAGGGTGTTCACCTGGCTCGCACACCGTGTATCCCCATGACCATGTAGAAGGTGACTCTCTAAAGGCCCTCAGCAACCTTTAGTAACAGATACAGGAAAGAAGAGACAATTGATTGTCCCTCTTTAATTCATGCGATTATTCAAGGCCTGACTTGTCCCAGAGAGCACTGAAGGACACCAGCCCAGCACTGCAGGGAGGCACTGGCTTTGTTCGCTGTCTGAGGCACTTATCTCCAAATGCTTTGTTCACGGCTATGTCCTCTGTGACTTGAAGCTGTAGATCTTGTCTTATTAATGTATGCATTGAACAGATCTTTATTTTATGCCTACTAGGTGCCAGCACTGCTAAGCCCATGCTGACCTGCTGTTTACAGTCAGCATTTACAGTCTAGTTGGGGAAATAATATTGGTAAACACACATACACGAACACACACAAATATTATATTAAAAGGTTTAAGCACTGTGAAGGAAATGACATCTCTTTTCTTTTGCCCCCATGTAAGGCTGGCATGAACAGGGTTCTCAGTGAGCATCTGTTGAAGAAATGAGTGCATAAGGGAGAAGAAGAATGTGCAGGCTACAGGAGGGGCCTCCATCCTCCAGCAAAAGGGAGGCCTGGTCCTGAGCTGGGCTGGTGTGGCGGGGGAGTGAAGACGCCATGGACAGCCTGGCTGGCTGGGACTCCCTGAGCCCAAGCTGCCGGGGCTGAGGGGCTGCCTTGGACAGCTGAGGTCCTCTCCAGGGCTGCATCCAGGGGACCTACTCCCTGTTGCTGGAGGTCTCGATTTGGCAAGCTTTGCTACAGTGTCTGTACGAGGCCCTCCCAACACCCCAACCTCCCCAGGTCCCCAGGTACATCTGCTGAATGTTACCTGACCACCGAAACGGGGCTGCACAGCTGTCTGAATAATGGATAAGGAGGCTGATGGATGGGTGGGCAAAGGTGCATGCCTCCCTGTGTGTTACCTTGCCTCTCGCCAGGCTGGCCTGTGGGGGCTGCAGGCTGATTGGGGATGGGGCTGAAAAGTGGGAATTGCCTGGGCCAGCCTTGCCTAGACAGCAGACAATTTCATGGAATAAATATTTCTATTGCGATCTAAATGTGCTCTGAGAGTCTGCTGTTGAGTGAGACTGAGGCCACGGGGAGGAGAGGGAGGCAGTGCCCCACCCCTGGGAAATGTGCTGAGGAGTCCTGTTATGGCCTGGCTATGCCATGCAAGGTCATGGCCAACAGAGTCACCAAGAGCAGAGCAGTGAGGTGTTGGGGAGGGCAGAGGGCAGTCCTGGAGAGGTGGGACCGATGTGGATGGGAGTGGGCTGGTCAGGTGGGGAGACGGAGGGCCCTGCTGATCCAGGATTGCAAGAGCATGACAGTGAAGTCACAGCTGAGAAGTATTCACTGTGTGTGTCTTTGCGTGTGTGAGAGAGTGGGAGGGGGAGAGAGAGAGGAGAGAGAGAAAGAAGGGAGGGAGAGAAAGAGAAAGGGAGGGAAAGAAGGAGAGAGAGAAAGAGGAGAGAGAGAAAGAAGGGAGGGAGAGAAAGAGAAAGGGAGGGAAAGAAGGAGAGAGAGAAAGAGGAGAGAGAGAAAGAAGGGAGGGGGAGAAAGAGAAAGGGAGGGAAAGAAGGAGAGAGAGAAAGAAGGAGAGAGAGAAAGAGAGAGAGAGAGAAAGAAGGAAAGAAAGGAGAGACAGAAGGGGAGAGAAAAAAGGGGAGAGCGAGAAAGAGAGACAGAAAGAAGGAGAGAAAGAAGAGAATGAGAGAGAAGGAGAGAGAGAAAGAAGGGAGAGAGAGGGAGAGGGAGAGAAGGAGAGAAAGAGCAAGAGAGACAGGGAGAGAAAAAAGAGGAAGAGAGAGAGGGCTGGAAAGAGAAAGAATGAAGTGGTGAAAGGAAGAAAGAGAAACGGGGAGAGGGAAAGAGAGAAAGAAGAGAGAGTGCTGGGGGCAGCGAGAATAACCTACTGATGCCTGGATCAAGTACTGACAGGCAGACCTTGTCAATAGGGAGGTTTAAGAGGCCAGACTTGACCCCAAGTTCTCCTGGTTGAAAACCCAAACGCCTCCTGCTGCAGCTATGTACATAATCCAAGTCTTAGAAATGGAAAAGATTCATTGTGTTTGCTAATTATTCATGTAGCAAACTTACTTCATTCCTTCCGTGGTAATTTCCATTAAATTCCACACATTTATCGAGCACTTAATATGGGCAATTGAACGTGCGTTTTGTTTGAGGGGAGCCATGTCCTATTTAGGGGGCAGCAGCCGGGGGTGTCGGGCTGGGGATCAGGAGGACTGGCCGCCAACCCTGCCTCTGCTGTTCCCAGTCCCCTCTCCATGTACCACAGCTCCATTCAAGTCATATGAATGCACCCAAAGAGCTTTGCACCCAAGAGCTGACCTTGAAAGCTATTTTTTTTTTCTAGAGGTTTATTGGTGAAATAATTTAGACTTGGAGACTGAGATCTTTCTTCTATTTCTGGCCGGTCCCAATTTGAGATTTCCTTAGATTGATTTAGTTTTCTTATTAGCAATTCATTATTGCATGTTAATAGTAGCTAGACTTACCAACTAAATACTTATAAAAGTATTTTGCTCCAAGTCAGTGACTCCAGTGAATCAATTAGAGCAGTCTTGGATGCTGGGATCTAAGAAATCGAAACTGTGGGTGTACCTGGAGGAGGTCTCCCAGACCAATGTGGGTCTCCTAGCCCCTCAAGATTGTCCCATTAGGAGGCTGACGGCTGATGCTTAGCCCTGTCAAGACCCCTTGACAAGACTCTGGCGAGAACTCTGGGGACAGAGGAGATACTGTGTCTTTGGTCTCTTCTCCACTGGAAGCTGCAGGAGAGCACATAAGGACAGGAGCTCCTCCCCAGCTAGAGGTGAGCTATGTTCTCAGAGCTGCCCATCCAGAAGTTCCTCTAGGGCGGTGGAGACAAGGTAC
Organism: Homo sapiens; assembly: GCF_000001405.40. Classification (NCBI taxonomy): domain Eukaryota; kingdom Metazoa; phylum Chordata; class Mammalia; order Primates; family Hominidae; genus Homo; species Homo sapiens. The sequence continues at coordinate 49,402,414 of NC_000010.11, read as the reverse complement.
AGTGGATCCAGTACCTTTGGGTGTGGTTTCCACGTGGTGCGAGTTTCCCTTACCTCTGCATCCCCATCTCCTTCCCTAGCCAGAATCCCTAGGGGCTGGTTCCCCAGGGCTGTGAGCTCAGAACTGCATCCCCTGGCATGGCACAGAGAAGGTGCTAGATACCTGAGAGAAGGGGAGAGAAAGAAGGAGAGACAGAGAAAGAAAGAAGGAGAGAAAGGAGAGAGAGAGAGAATGAGAGAGAAAGGAGAGAGAGAAAGAAAGAAGGGAGAAGGAGAGAAGAGTTGAAATGGACTGAACGAGACCCTGAAATGCTAGAAGCCGAAGACTTGGCCTTCCTCAACACACCCCTTTCTTATCCTAACACTTGACAAAAAGTCATTATCAGTCTGAAAATAATGATAAACTCACATAGAATTTATGTCAAGGGTAGGAAAGACAGATAACTGCAGGAGCCGGGGGGTTACACAACCTGGAGAGAGGAAAGTAGTAGGGAATAGTGAGGTCTGTGACCAAGTAGTTGACATGCCCAATCTAAAGGCAATGGATTTAAATTTCTAAAACATTTCTATCAACTGGATAAGATGCCTTTGATTGAGCTCAAAGGACCTTGGTTTAGGTTTTCTAGCAAAATAGGTGTTTTGAGTACAGTTCAACAAACCAGGCAATTAAGTATGAAGAACAAAAAACGGTAAGGAAGCAAGTGTGGCAGACAGGCAAGTGGGAGCTCTCCCAAGGGTGGTGTGGCTTTGGCCTGGTGAGGAACAGGGCTCATTTAGGAGACCACCAGAAGATTCAGGTGCCATCTGTAAGTTCCCAAAATGGCTCACAGGATCATCTCTCCAGGAACGTGGCCCTAGCAGCAAGACAATAATAATGATAATGATAATGCCACAGTTGCAGCTGATGTTCACAGGGCAGTTGCTATGTGCTGGGCATTGTGTTCAGCACCCTCTTTAAAATTTTTTAACTTTTAAAATAGACTTTATTTTGTAGAGGAGTTTTCTATGCACTGCAGAATTGAGCAGGAAGTGCAGCGAGTTCCCATATATCCACCCCCCAGCCTCCCCAACTGTTAACATTAGCACCAGAGTGGCACGTTTGTTACAGTAGGTATACCTGCATTGACATGTCATCAGAGGCCACCATTTACATTAGGGTTCATCTTGGTGTTGTACATTCTATGAGTTTAGACAAACGTCAAATGACGTATATCTACTGTTAAAATAGTTTTAACTGTCCTAAAAGTCTTTTAGCACTGTCTTTTTTTTTTTTTTTTTGAGACGGAGTCTCACTCTGTCGACAGGCTGGAGTGCAGTGGTGCAATCTCAGCTCACTGCAACCTCTGCCTCCTGGGTTCAAGTGATTCTCCTGCCTCAGCCTCCCGAGTAGCTGGGACTAGAGGCATGTGCCACCATGCCCAGCTAATTTTTGTGTTTTTATTAGAGACAGGGTTTCACCATGTTGGCCAGGATGGTCTCGATCTCTTGACCTTGTGATCTGCCCGCCTCGGCCTCCCTAAGTGTTGGGATTACAGCCGTGAGCCACCGCACACGGCTGGCACTGTCTTTTAATCCTCCCTCCAGCACTTGATGTGGCATTGTTGTCCCATGTCACACAATGAGAGAGGGATGTCCTGAGAGAGTAAGTGACCTGCTCAAGCTCACTGGTCTCCTGAGGACCGAAGCCTGCTTGAATGGAGGCAGGGGCACAGACTCTGCAGGTGGTGGGCCTTCCTCCTGGGCTGTGCTCTCTTTCCTTGTGAGAGTTAGGAGGCCATGGGCAACCCTCCAAGCTCTGCAGCAAACACAGGGCCAAAGGTTGAAGCTGAGCTCTGAGATCCCTGGGAACCACATGGGAATATACTTTGTCCTGTGGTCACTGGACAAGAACAGGTGAAGTTATTGGAAGTTGGCTTGCATTTGAGCAGCTACTATGTTTTATATGGCAGTAAAACTAGTGAATTATAGGGAATTTCCAGGATGATAAAATGCATATCTATCCCTTGTTGTGTATATATATTTTCTGTTCCTAAGTCCCCGGGAAATCTGGAATTTCCATTAACTGCTATGTCCTTCACATATTCTCTCATGTTTAGCTTAGCTAAGCTAACTTTTTTGGCAATTTCCAAAACTACAATATAACGATAGATTTGCCGACAAGTAGAGAATACGCCATATTCACACTGAGATATATCCACCGGGGATTATGCTAGAGAGCCTTTAAAACATTTGTAAAAATATCAAACCTGGGCCCTTCCAAAACATATAATTAGGAATTCAGTGTGGTTTTTTCCTCCCTGATAATTTAAGTATTTTACCTGCTTTACCCTCTTGCTATGGGTTTAAGCCATGTGTACTGAAGTCATTTCTGCTAAGGAAAGTTTTAAAAGGGAGGTTGTGAAAATCCTTTCTGAGCACAATTAAGATGTCAAATCCAACACATATTTTTGTATTTGGGCTCAAAAGATGAGGACAGAGGTGTCTCCAAATATTTTCCCAATTTTCCTAAAACAAGGCAAACAGTAAGAAATGAATACTATGTATGGTATTTAAGACCCAACTCGGAGCCTTCAAACCCCTACATTTTCTAAGGATTTGGAATTCTTTTCAGGAATCAATTTAAAATGATTCATAATTCAACTGAAAACAATTGAGGGCTTAGATAGATGCTCGCATTTCCAGCTTTTTATTGCTGCTCTTAGTGTTTCTGAGATGACAGTTTTCCTTTCATAGAACCAGCTTAAAATTAGAAAAATCAAACACCCATTAGAGAAAGCAGATTTACTCTGCTATTAATTGATATAGAGATGTAAAACTTCCATCACCTGGGCAGAAGCCTAGCGCATCCCTGCAGACAGTTGCAGTGGCTAGAACCTGGGGGGTCAGCAGCCCACTCACTGGGCCTGAGCTGGAGCTGTCAGCCTTTGGGAGCCAAGCCTCGAATTTTCAGCACTAAGACATGCGGCTCTGGGGGAGCTGCATCTGTAACAACATCTGCACGCCAGTCTTCAGGCGTGTTACTGTCTTCCCATTTTATTTTTAAAAACATGAACAACTTTGAAAGTTGAACTCCCCACCCTGAGCTGGCTTCTCTCTTCCCTATGGGACAGGAGGCAAAGTAGCACACCCTATGTAGCAACCAGGAAATGATTCTCGGGAATGCAGATGCTGTGGCTGCGGGTATGAGATGCGGAGAGAAGGGGCACTGAGGACCCAGGATTGTCTCCCTACAGAGGCGGGAGGCAGGCTAGGTGAGGGCGGGGAGCGGGGGAGGGGGTGGGGAGGACTGTGAATCTGCTGAAATATGACCCCGCGGTTTTAACTTTAAATAAGCATTTCTGTCCTAGTGGAAGCCCCTCTAATGTCTCCTGCAGCTTTGATTTTGGAACACGTCACATTCCTCATTAAAGCAATCACTGTTAAAACATAAAGCAACACAGGATTTATTTCTTCATTAAACTGATGATCCGTATATGAAGCCAATTAACATTATGAGTCTGGTGAACATCAAGTGTAAAGAGGTTAGAGAAAATTAAAAGCAGTCACCTTGGTCTTTAGATAAAGAAAGTACACTTTTAGGTTGTAAATTATCAGAGTGTCCAAGCGAGACAGATCGGCGAATTTGGTTAATTGGAAAATACATTTTACCGCACAAAAATTAAGGAAAAATAACCTTTTCGTTACTAACGCCCTTTTTTAGGGGGAGGGGGACCGTAGCGAACACCTATTAGTCACCTTCTCCCGGGTGTCGAGACATTCGGAAAAAAAGGGGGCTGGCGTCATCAAAGTTTGGTGCAGCCTTTCGTTTCTAAGGTTGTTTGGTTGTTTGTTTACTCGCTGTTTTGCCAACGGGAAGGAGCCCAGCCTAGCGGCTCCGGGAGAGGAGCGCCGGGCGAGGCGAGGCCGAGGGTCCCAAGCCGGCTTAGAGCCCCCGCGAGGTGGGTGTGTTGAGGGAGCTCGGCTGGTTATCTAGTCAGTGAGGCGGCCGGACTCTCCTCGGGGGCCGCGAGATGGTTTCCGGCTGCAGCGGCCGGGTAGGAGCGGCGCGTGGTACTGCGGAGAAGGGAGTTTTGTCTCTGTTGCCAGCGCTGAGCGCATGTCCGGAGTAACTTTCGCAGGTTTGGACTGGGAGAGGATTGGGGTCGGTCCCCGGACGCCTGGGGTCCGGCCGGGCGGATCCCACCCCTGAGCAGCGAGGGGCCCCGGCTGGGCCCCCGGTACGGCTTCTTTCTCCGCAGCAGCCGGGGGTGGGTGGGGGTGCGGAAACCGGCGCCGCTGTCCAGGGTTCTGACCTGCCGGGTTGCTCGGCGAGCGCGCCGTCCTCAGACCGCGCAGGTCTGAGCCTGTCTCATCCGCGCCGGATGAGCCTGTCTCGTCCCGGGGTCATCTCTGGGCCTTAATAGGAACTTGCCTCGGTCGATGTCAGGGATGGGGAACTGAGACTGGCGTTTGGACCTCATTGGTTTCTGGGGCCAACACTGCACCCCGGGCTGGGCTGCTGCCGCTGAGGGTTCCCGCACACACCCCCAGGTGCGCCTGAGCATCTTGGCCGAGGCGGCCCAGAAGCTGTCCGCACCTCACTTCACGGCCACCGGGTTCCCAAAGCGCACAGGCAGGGAACTGCTGCCTAGGGCAGGAGGGAACCCGAGGGGACTTTCGGCAGACCTAGGCGGCAAGAGGAGCCTCGGGCTCTTGTCAAGAGCTCCAGAGAGCAGGGGCCCTCTGAGGGAGACAGGGAGAGAGACAGCGCGCGCGAGCCAGTCTCTTGACCTGGGCTAAGGGAGGATCAGCTCTAGGGGCTCCCAGCCCTCTTGGCATGACGTAGGAAAGGCCCTCGGCTGCCCTGCCGGCCCCTGCCTGCCACCTCACCCGCCTTCGGGACCTGCTAGCCGCTCCTCCCGGGCCGGCTGCCTGGACTCTCGGAGTCGGTGGCCCTGGCGGAAATGGCGCCCCGAGCTCTCTCCGCTCTGAAACGAGCGGAAGTTTCCTGTGATTCTTTCCCCGAGGCAGAGCAGACTCTGCTCTGGAGCGACTGAGCCCAGGAAGGGCCGCTTCACTGGAATAGATCCTGACTTGCCTCGACCGGAGCGGGACTGGTCTTCCTCCCGGCTGTTTTCGGAGGGGCGTCAACGGCGGCCGGGACCCAGCGCTCTGTCCTGCAGCTCGATGCTCCTTGCCCAGCGCTGGTGTCCAGCGGCGGGCCTGCCAGGCCTTTTGTTTCCAAAGCGCTGCGTCTTTAAGATCAAGGCTGTATCCCGGGCCGTGCAGGGACCCGACCCACCACCTCGCCAAGGCTCCCTAACGCAGCATTAGAATGTTTATAAAATATTCAATTTATGTAGTCTGTCCAAGAAGCCATCGTCCCAAAATAAAATCAGCAGTCTAGACGGAGCACAGACACCAGAACTTATCAACAGTTGTCTGACTTGCATCTTCTGATGCATCTTGAGTGGGTCATAATACCAACTTTATTTTCAGTGGTGCATAAATTAATTACACGCATTTAATAACCAAAATATCATTATATTCCCCCTTTAATATCATAAAGGCTTTCCGCCAGGGAAGCACTTAATAGTGCAGGGGGCCGTAACGGGCTATTATCCTGGTGTAATGCTATTACAGAACCAATTATGCGCCATTAGACTTGCTTTTTTTGCAGTTTATGTGATTTGATCCAATCCCGCGCCCCTGACTTGAAAATTTCAGCCCGGTACTTTAGAGTTTAATTTTCACCCAGGCAGAGAGAAGGGCGGTCTCTCTCCGTTGAGTGTCTGCCTCGGATGCATTTTAAAAGTAATTGCAAAGGGTCCCACCGCATATCATTTGCATCGAGAAGCGAACATAAATTCAGGGACCCCTTGCTGAGAACAAAATCAAACTTTCCTTTTGTACGATCGTTTGGAAAGGGAAGCCGTGTGCAAAGAGTCCCCCCAAAACCCATCCGGCGGCGACAATTAGCAGCGCTTTGCCAATTTGCAGCCCGGGAGTCACCAGGCCTTTGATAAGGGCAGCCCAAACCAGGCTCTCTCGGAGAAAGGTTTGCCTCTGAGGGGACATGAGGTGGGGGGTGGGGCCTAGTGTGTTTTCGGAAAATGTATGTTTTTGGGGGTGATGGTGGTGGTGGTTGTATCGTTCTCTTTTAAAAGAGGAAAAAGCATTCCTGATGTTTGCTGAGAAATGACGGATTTTTTTTTTAACACCACGTGGGCCATTTGTAAGGCCCAATAGACCTATCCAAGTTACTCGCTGTAGACAGCGCTGGAAATAATCAGATTAAGGCCAATTATGCGTGAGATTATAAAGGCGAGTGCTGAGCGGCGGCGCGCGCTGCAGACAGACAGCAAGACATCTGGCCACTTCCCGAGTCACTTCTTTGGTCCTGCGGGCGCCAGCCGCGCCGAGCCCCGCCCGCCGCCAGCCGAGCAGGGCTTGCGGATCGGAGGCGGTCACGCTCCGACCTCCTCGACCGCCGCCCGCCGAGGTATGCTCGGCTCCTGACCCACTCGCCGGGCCCCGAGCGCCGGGCCTTGGGGCTCGGCTGCCTTCCTGGCCTGAGCTGCAGCTCGCAGATGGCCTTGCGCGCTAGCCGGACCTGGCTGCGGTGGCCCGGGTGCAGGGCTTCTGGCTGGGACCCCAGAGAGCCAGAAACTACGCTGCGGGGTTTGGTGCTGGGGCCAGGGTGAGGGCACGGCCGTCCGGGAGGTGGACACACCCGAAGGACTGCCCTGTGGGGTTGCTGCTTGCGACGGGGCTGCCGCCTTCCCTCCTGTCCCCCGCAGTGAGATGAGGGCGTTGGGAGGGACTTTCCAGGAGGGGAGCGCCGGGTGCGCCCTAGGGCTGGGCGGGAGCGCTGGCAGAGGGAGACTTGAAGCTCTATCGCTGTTTGCTTTGCAGCCAGGCAGGAGCAACGCGCGCGGGTCCGTTCTGCTGCCACCCTCCCAGGTCTCGGCCGTCCAGCCGATCTGACAGCCGGCGATGTTTTATTTCCACTGCCCGCCACAGCTAGAGGGTAAGTAAGCGCTGCGCCCCAGGGTCTCCATGAAGCCAGAGCCGGCCAGAAAGGGCCGGAGCGGCAGCAGGGCTGGTGGGTGGCTGGGTCCCCGCCCTGCGGGGGGCGCAGCCGCCTGCCGGTGAGTAGGGGCCTCCCTGGACCCCTCCCTACACCCCACTCCAGGCCCGCTCCAGCTCCCCGCCCCGTCGCCACCTGCCTCCCAGCTCCCTCCCCGCCTGGGCCAGGACGCCCCGGGCTAGGCGTGCCGCGGGGACCGGCCGAATCCTCCCAGCACAGATGCTGGTGTCACGCCTCTAATTGGGGCTCCGCAACCCAGGGGGCCGCATCAATCTTTCACGGTGCTTCTGCAAACATCCCAGAAAGCAAAGGCGAGTGGACCCGCCGCGTCCTGGCCCAGATCACGAGCTGCACGAGCCTACAAGGGCCCGTCGCTGGGCTGCTCTCACTGGGGCCGCTGGCGAGAACACTGCAGGGGCCTCTTCCGCCCTGGATTCTGGGCAGCTCAATTCCCTTCCCGGCCTCCTGGCCGTCCCTGGAACCAGGTGGCCCTGCCCACCACCTGCCCGGACTGACCTAGCATGGCTCCTTCTCTGTGACTCACTAACCCTAAATGTCGACCACTCCCCACTCCCCAGGCCAGAATTTCCATCTTTGAGTGTCTCCAGGCCTGAGAAGAAATTTCCCCTCAGGATCCCCAGTCTGGCTTCTGCACCCAGTTGTTAGTGGGGGCGTGGGTTGGTGAGAAGGGGACAGTTGGGACCTCAGCATGCCCCTGCTCAGGACCCGAGGGATCCAAGGATGGGGTCTTCACATCAGGGGGCCAATTAGTAGCCATCAGGTGAGCCAATGCCACACTGTGGGCTTTAATGGGGCCTTCTGCAGAGCAGCAGTCTCAGCACTGGGGTATTGGGACTTTTGTAACCGTCGGACTGGCATTTGGCAACCTACTCGTTTGATTTATTATTGTGGTGGGAGAATTTGGGAAGCCAAGTAGTTGTGGGAGACAAGGGGCAGGGTATATGTTGTGAGGCGCTAGGAGACCTGAGACTTCAGGTGATGCTTGTCAGTCTTGCTGCAGGCTGCCCTGAGCAGTGGCTGAGCCTCAGAAAGTTTGTTTTTGTTTTTCTCATAAAAGCTCTTAAGAGTCCAATAGGATTTTCTAAAGGAGGCTAATGAGGACCAGTGTTTAAGCCCTGCTAGCTCTGTCAGCATTCCTAGGAAGGGAAGGCCACACATTTGCCTGCATTTCACATTTTATCCCCAAGTTCCCATGCAGGGTGGGTTTTATGGAAGGGTGGGAGACGTGCATCCCCTGACAGTGTACCCTAGGGGATGAGGGAGACTTTCTGTATGTTAAGGGTGCCTTCTCTGTGCATCTGAACCAGGGGTCTGGACTAATTGCCAGCCAGTGTCCCACCCTTCTGGTCAAAGTGGGTAAGGCAGAAGTTTGGGCATTTGGCAGGTAGGGGACGTCATGAATGTCTGTCTGCGGGGTGGACTGCAGCAGTGAGTTAGGGAGAGTCCTGGCCTGGCCTGCGGTGACCCCAGCTCTCAGCCCAGCTCAGCTGGCTTACTGTGCTCCCCACACCCTGGGCACATCCCACCTCAGTGCTGACTCTGTGATATAACCAGAAGAAAAGGAGATGGGTCTTTAAGAGCCTTTCATCCCTTTGTAGATGTGATTCTATGCCAGTTTTGCAGAAAGGAGTAATTTAGTTTAGTTTAGTGTTGCTGGGTGAAAGGGATCTCCCGCAAATGGAAAAGTTGAGAACAGACCCTTGGAATATGACATAATTATAGCCTATCATCTTTTTTATTTTAATTTTTTGTTAATCTAGATAGGCATAAGGGAGAAAAGAAAGAAAGGCTCATAATCTTACTTCTCAGATAATTTTGCTGATGTTACATTAAAAAGTACTACTGGCACCTGCCTGAGAAGTTTGAATACAACAGAAACTTATACATTGAAAAGCAAAATCCTCCTTTTCCACCTCTTTTCCTAAAAGTATCTGCTATTTTTTTTGTGATTCCTTCAAGAAAAACATGATTTAATTCTCATTTATGTATTTTTAAAATATGTGTTTTGCCTTATTTGCACTGAAATTATATTGCTACATCATTCTGTACTTTGCTTTTTTTACTTTGTAATATATCTTGGAGATTTGTTCATGCCAATGCATATAGATCTACTGATTTCTTTTAAACTGCTGTGTAGTATTCCATTGTATGTTGTGAAGAAAGCATCTGCTGATGGGCATTTTGGTTGTTTTCATTTTTTTTCAACTACAGTATTTCCAGAAGCACTTTTTTTTTCTATTTTGGCACACATTACAAATATATTTATAGATTAAATACCTGTATGTGTACTTACATTTTTGATGGATGTTGTCAAATTACCTTCTAATAAGGCTGTACCCAATTTGTACTCCTACAAATGGTGAATAAGCCTGCACATCTTATGATACTCATATCTGTACTGGGTGTCTTTATGCACCTCATTTTTTCTTCAAAATGTTGAAAATAATATTCCATTGTTCTGTTGTGTTTGGTTGAATTATCCTCAAGGTTTAGCATTTTCATAATATTATCGACTATTCTACTTATTTTTAAGTAAAAGAGCTATTCTCATTTTTTCCTCTTTTCTATTAGGTTGTCAATCTTTTATTAATTTGGTGAACTGTCAGCCCTTTTTTAGGATTCAGTTCGACATGCAGTGTTTTACTTAAAGATTCTGCATGTACACATTGTGAGCCACTTTGGGACCATGATGTATAAATTAGAAGACTGAGCGAAATTGTGATTGGAGATCCTCAGAGATTGTGTTCCATCCTCACCAGTCAAGTGCATTGTTTCAAAAAAAGACAATTTGTTTTCTTGCAAAGTAATGAAAATAAGACTGCTTTGAGGTCATTTCTTTTAAGTTTCCAATGAGCTGGAGAGAAATACCTGTAACTAAGGTTTTGAGGAACAATGCAATTTGGACAGGAAGATGGAAGGAGAACGCTTTAGCAGAGAGTCAGGGTGTTTGGCAAAGGATGTGGCCCTGGATGGTGAAAGAATAACTAAAAGGAACTTCCTCTAGTAGACAGAATTTTAAGAAGCCCAAAGGACTTTCAATCTTTGAGACTGAGGTCCTTCTGAGGGTCCTTGTCTGGGACAGTGTAGCTCCAGAACTCCTAATGCCGTGATTCTGAGAACAGAGCCCATGGCAGGTAAAGTATTCACTGGTTAATGGCAACTTGCTCATTTGTTTTCCTAAGAAGCCATTGTGGACTATCAAGTAAATAGAGCACATTTGGAAAATGATCTGAATGCACATTTGGGGCCAAACTCTGTTCTGCGTTTATAACGAGCTTGGAAGCCTGCTGGGGAGGACAATGTCTTTCTTTTGTGGGGAAGTAGAAGTGGTAGGTGCTTTATAAGGCTTGGCCAGAGGGTGGGGTGCCCTTTGAGAGTGGCCTTGTTCAAGTCTGCTTGGCATTCAGGACAGTCACTATTGGTGCAGATCTCTTGTTAATTGACATCTATATAACAGATCCACTATGGTGCTGATGAGCTGTGACCAACGGTAATTAATATTCATTTATAAACTTCTTACCTCCTCACGTTCTGCACTTATAAGAGAAAAGTGCCGTGAAAAGCTCTTGGTGTTTTCTTTCCTCCCCCAGCCTCTCCTAACCCCCAGATTTTAATTCTTGTTAATAGAAACAAGGGAAAGTAAACTACCATATGAGCCAAAGGGAGACACACAGGCTTCTATTAAAGGATCTGGAGTAGGGGTGAGATAAAGGCACATTGAACAGGGGTGGAGCTGGGAGCTGGAGAGCACGTGAAGGCTCTGCCTCAAGCCAGTGACCCTTCCTGGTTCAGAGTCTAGAATTTCACAAGAATTGAAATTGGCCATCTTGGGGATTAAGGTCACCACTCGCCCTATGTAATAGGGATACCTGGATTTAAAGTCAGAGGTTTTGGGGACAGAGTGGAAAAGAGGAGGATTTAATAGGAGGAACAGAAAAATATCCTTTGGGACAAACAGGGCTTCCTGTCTGGTGGGTCAGGTGGGTGCCCTCTGAACTGTGTCTGGGGGCGGTCTGAGGACTGGGGCCCCTTCCTGCCCAGGTTGATCAGTTTGCTCTTGGTAGGCACTGCAACCTTTGGCAATCACTCTTCGGGGGATTTTGATGACGGGTTTCTGCGTAGAAAACAGCGCCGGAACCGGACGACGTTCACTCTTCAGCAGGTACCAACGTTGATTCTCCTTTCAAACATCAGCTACTTCCTACCTCCCCCAAATCAAAGTTGAGCAACTCTTCTTTGTCTTTTAAAATAAGACCAATTGATTATGCTAACTGAATCTTTCTGTTTTCTTGAACAACTTATGTGCCATGGAATCAAAATTTAGGAGGCATGCAGATGACGCTAACCTTGTAATCCCAGATGAGTGAAGAGGCAACAACGTTCTCTCCCACTTGCCTTAGGTGGATAGTTTGGGGAACACTTCCATGTCAGCAATATCATTTGAACCTCACAGTGATCCTCTGAGGAAGGCAGGTCAGACATTCTCATTCTCAGTACAGAGATGAAAAACCGGATCCCTGGAAGTTGGCTGACTTGGATAAGGTATAGTTGCCCACAAGTGGAAGGGCTACAACTGGGACCTTGATACTGTGTTTCCCAGAGCTGGGCTTTTTCCCCTCGATCAGCCTCTGTCCTACTCTTGGAGTGAACTGGAGTGGCTGTGAAGGTGACCAAATATCCCTATGGCGTTTTGTGGGATGACACCATGAGGCTTCTGCAAGTTGTTTCTGTTCCCTGGCTTCCTATGGTGAAAGCGATAACAATTACTCTAACAGTTCATAAGGTGACTGTTAGTTTTTTTTTGATTCCTATGACAATACTTAAATGTAAATGCATATAAATATTCACACCTCTCTTATTTCTACTTCTTGCCAGAGCACTGAGGTTGCTAGTAAGCCGTAGCTCCTAAGTCATCCGCGGTTGAAATTCTCATTCTGTGGGATCTTTCCAAAGAGCTCTCTTCTCCCTGTCCTTCCTCGATTTAATCTGTGAAACTGCTTCCTCACCACTCACAGGAGATTTGAAATATGCATCTGCTTCCCCTCACCTAGCCACAGCCTCTCACCAGTACATATTTTTTCCTTTTACCAGCTGGAAGCTCTCGAGGCCGTTTTTGCCCAAACACACTATCCAGATGTCTTCACCAGAGAAGAGCTCGCCATGAAAATAAACCTCACAGAAGCCAGAGTGCAGGTAAACCTTCTTTTTAATTATTTAACTCTCTAATATTAAAACTGGCAAACTTTTTTTTGACATCATGACTGCAGAGTGCACATTTGGCCAAAGAAAGCAAATGAAGACTATCTGTCATTTTCATGATGCACTTTAATAACATCAACATAATGTGGAATATTAGATTAGGTTGATTAATCGGTCATTCATAATTAACTAGTGATAATGTTCTACACTAATTTGTCCGCGTCTCTAAGGTACTAAATTACATCAATGCACATCCATTTCCTTGCTTTGGAAAAAAAAAAAAAAAGAAAGAAAGAAAGAAAAGAGCTGAGATGCTATTCTAAAAGCAGCTCTGACCGCTCTGGGGTAAGGCTGGTCAATTGCAGAGAACCGCGTTTTCAGATGGGAAGCAGAGTAGGATCTGCTTTCCAGAAATTGCATCATGTCCAACTTTTCCCCTGCCCTCAGACTCTTTCAACAAAGTGGATCCAAAGAAGATGTGCAATTTAAAAATCTTTAAACAGCAGTAGTGATAGGGCTGCTTCAGAGATGAGTATGGCCCGCGGTGACCGTCTCTAAACAGGATTTCTGTTTAGAAGCTACACGGTGATTACATTTAGGCACACAAACCTGCCCGCCGAACCCAGCAGATGTGCCCAAGTGCGAGAGGAAGGGATTCACGGTGCCGCCTCTCTGGGCGAGCTATTCTTTGAGCACAATTATATATTCATTTTATTTATGGGGTTTCCTCCATGCTGTTTCTGTTCTTTTTTATGTAGGGGCTTGGGGTTAAGACTATGCAAAGATCTAATTGTAGGAAATATAATAGTTTGCTTTCGGTTCCCCTGGGTCATGTTAGTATCTCTTAAAAACCAATGGCTGAAGAGAGATAATGGAATTCTGAGCAGTAAATTGGGGGTTGTAAACAAATTATTTCCCCTATAATCAGATTATGTGATCCTGATTATTAAATCTGAACATGAATCATTGGTCATATGCGGGCAAATTAAACTGATTATTATTTGGAAATGAAAATCTCCTTTGGCCAGGATACCGTCTATCCTTTCTTTTTTTAATGCCAGCTTGCCAATAGCTGCCTAAAGACTGAACTGCAAATTGAGATAAATGACACAATTATTGAGCATTCAGAAGTGGAAGATCATAACTTCTCCCTGAAAGGTGCAAGGGTAAGATAGGGGTGGTGACAATTAAAGCCGGGAATTGTTGTTCAGGCTGTTGTTGGCTATTATGCAGACAGACAATGGCTGTGAAGCGCTTGTTTAGTGAGCCTCCATGTGGGGACGTGGGCTTTGGTGGTGGGAAGGGAGATGTGTTTACATTTATACCCCTTGCTCATTCAAATATGATTAATGTTCTATAAAGCAGGGTCTTAATCGAAGCTGATGTTGTCAAACAATAACTAAATAGGGAAATAAACGACTCCATCATGCTCTTTCCTCAGAAGCAGGCGAACTGTCAGTGCAAAGTCATTAAAATATGATAATGAAAAATAGCTCAATTAAATGTTGTTATAGCTGTGACCTTCATTCAATTAAGACGCAAGAAAGTGTCTGCATTTTGCTTTGCATTTAACTGCCCTAAATTTAGAATATAGATAAAATCATTATTCAATGGTTGCTGATATGTGCAATTAAAAGCCAAGTAGATTAGAAAAGAAAGAAAGAAACCCAGTTAAAGGAGAATGAAAGTTAAGAGATAGGGTGGGCCAGCCCAGCAGAGGGCTCAGCCTCAAGGACCCAGGCTCTCTCTGGGGCCAGTGTGCCAGCAGCCAGGGGAGGAGAGGATGCCCTGGGGAATTGAAGGGAGGTCTTGCCAAGCATTTCTTTTTTCTTTGTAGTCAGGAATTATCTCCCAGGAGAGGAGGGAAGAGGTTTTGCTGGAAGGAGTAAACAGCAGCAGGATTTCACTGACCTCTGGAAACTCCTTGAATCTGGGCTGCCCAGCTTCCATGAGGCCATCCTACAGAATACAATTTTGGTTTCTAAGGCTTAAAGAACCCTGCACCTACCTCTAAGAAGGTGCTCAGGTCAAGGTGAATTACCAGCTTTTTTGTAACCTGAGGGTGACGGAGATGACATGAGTACGTGTTTACTGAGTGATGGATGGCTATGCATCAGGCCCTGTGCTCGGTGTTTTGCAGACATGCCAATCTTCCTAACAAGGCTTATGGGGTGGCCACAGTTATTACCCCCAAACAGTTTGAATCACAGTTCCCAGCCAAGCCATTGGGCTTCAAACTGTGGATCTGCCATTTACCACCTGGATAGCCTTAGGCAAGTTAATTAACCTCACTGCACTTAATTTTCTCATCTGAAAAATGGGGATAACAGGACTACTTACCTCATAGGGATGCAGTGGATTCTAAACCAGATTTACTGAGGTCCCAAATTCTAGGCCATGGCTAGATCCAGAGTCAGTGTTTCTTTTCTTTCTGTCTTTTCTTTCTGTCTTTTTTTTTTTTTTTGTGATGGAGTCTCACTGTGTCACCCAGGCTGGAGTGCAGTGGCATGATCTCGGCTCACTGCGACCTCTACCTCCCGGGTTCAAGTGATTATCTTGCCTCAGCCTCCTGAATAGCTGGGATTACAGGCATGTACCACCACACCCGTCTAACTTTTTGTATTTTTACAAAAAGAGATGGGGTTTCATCATGTTGGCCAGGCTGGTCTCAAACTCCCAACCTCAAGTGATCCGCCCACCTTGGCATCCGAAAGTCCTGGGACTGCATGCCTGAGCCACCACGCCTGACCCAGAGTCAATGTTTCTAATGGGTGCACTGGGCTGCTGATCACGAATATGTCATGATGTGTATCCAGATGATATCATAGATATGAGGCCAGACCAGACACACCCAGGTACCCAGGCCACAGCTGTCAGAAGAGCTAGTGAGTCTGTGATGAGGAAGCCCCGGGTCAGGTTTCTTAAGCTGCTTTGCTGGTGATCCTCCACCTCCAGTAGGAAATACATTTCACAACAAATAAATGAACTTGCGTGTGACTCAACGTTAAGGATTTCCACAAGACAGTGCTTTTACCCTTACTATGGGCATTCGGATACTTTCCATTATTTAACATTCATTAAAAAATGCCTGTCCTAACCTTTTAAGCGGATCTTCTGACCCCTCTGTGGGCCTGACGCTGCAGTTCAGAGGGCATGGTGTGGAGAGGAGGCTGCAGGGTGAGCTGTGAGTGCCAGCACTGGGTCCAGGGTTCTGGCTTCTTCCTCCTGTTTGATTTTCACTGGGTGTATGTTTCCATCTGGGATTCAGGTTTGGTTCCAGAACAGAAGGGCCAAATGGAGGAAGACAGAGAGAGGGGCCTCAGACCAGGAGCCAGGAGCCAAGGAGCCCATGGCAGAGGTGACACCTCCTCCAGTGAGAAACATCAACTCCCCGCCCCCTGGGGACCAAGCCCGGAGTAAGAAGGAGGCGCTGGAGGCCCAGCAGAGGTGAGGCTGTGGGTCTCTGGGCCCGGTGGGCCATGGGCAGCACTGCAGACACAGGGCGAGACCTCAATATGATCTCCTTCCTTTGCCAGCCTGGGGCGAACGGTAGGTCCTGCAGGGCCTTTCTTCCCCTCCTGCTTGCCGGGGACTCTCCTGAACACGGCCACCTACGCCCAGGCCTTGTCCCATGTGGCTTCCCTCAAAGGTGAGTTTGGGTTCGGCTGGGCTGGTGGGCGTGGCCTCATGGGGTTGGTGGAGTTTGTGTGACCGGCCTGGGTCTTGGCTCGGCCGTCCTTGCACCTGGGCCTGTGCAGCTTCCTCGCCTCCTGTCAGTCACAGCCAGGGCCACTGGTGCTGTCCAGTGCTATCTTGATTGCTTCCTACATGCGTCCTGAGCATAGAGAGAATGTCCTAAGCATCATTCCACCCACAGAGGGCTGGTCCTAGAGCAGGCTGCCCCACAGTGACCTTCCATGTTCACAGCTTTCTCCTGCTCCCTGGTAACAGTGTTAGGTGCCAACCTGCAGCTCACGGGTGGGGCCTGTGTGGGACAATCATCCCTGCTCCCAGCTCCCTCTCCATGCATGCGACTGGGCCACTTGCCTTCCCCAGGTCTCCTGATGCCAGAGGTCTGAGCCGTTAGGATTTGTGGTTTTCCAGTATGTGCTCTCTTCTCGGTGGCTGTTGTTTCATCTGAAGGATAGAAATCGTTAGGGGCATTTTGTCAGACTCAGAGAGAGGAGCCTCTGTGGATTGGCCCTTGGGATTTCTGAGCAGACTCACTGGAATGGGCTTATCCAGTGTTTCTCAGATTCTGGCCCCAAACCTATTCCTTCAGTGATCAGGCTGCACAGCTGTGTTGGCCAGGAACAGAGCTGGGCCCCAGCGTGCGTCTGGGGGAGTGAGTGTTAGGGGGCTCGTTTGTCACAGGGGGTCTGGGAGGTGGAGGCATAGGTGCAGGCTGTAGGCTTTTTTTTCTGATAATAGGAAGTAGGAGACACACCCTTAGGGTGTCCCCTGCATGTTCTGCTAACGCCTGAGGTCTCCCTGCTCTCGAGGAGGGTCCCTCTCCAGCAGGTGGGACACACACATACACACACACACACACAGTGTGGCAATCTGTGTTGCAAAGGTGGTTTCTGGAGACAGAAGGAGAATATGAT